>NW_025791777.1:1946398-2101585 GCF_000001405.40 Homo sapiens
ATGCCTGTAATCCCAGCACTTTGGGAGGACTAGGGGGGCAGATCACTTGAGGTCAGGAGTTCAAGACCAGCCTGGCCAACATGGCAAAACCCTGTCTCTACTAAAAATACAAAAATTAGCTGGGCCTGGTGACGTGCATCTGTAATCCCAACTACTGGGGAGGCTGAGGCATGAGAATTGCTTGAACCTGGGAGGTGGAAGTTGCAGTGAGCCGAGATTGTGCCTCTGCATTCCAGCCTGGGTGATAGAGTGAAACTGTCTCCAAAAAAAAGACGAATATAGTTGAGCAGAATGAATTGGTAATGTTTTCTAAATTGACTATGGAAAATTACAAGTGGGAAAAATTTGTGTTATGCATATATTAGAGTCCATGTTCTTTTTAATCTTGAGGATTGATTTCTTTTCTAGAAGGGCAGGTAACAGCAGTAGAGCATGCTGGCCCTGGAGTTAAATACTTAGGGATTGAATCTCAGCTTCATTTCTTTACTAGCTTTGTGACCTTGGGTAATTTAATTAATCTATTTCCTCATCTGTAAAATAGACCAATAATAGTTCAGGTTGAGCATCCCTGAAATTGAAAATGCTCCAAAGTCTAAAATGTTTTGAGTGCCAAAGTGATGCTCCAGGGAAATGCTCATTGGAGCATATTGGATTTCAAATTTTCAGGTTAGAGATGCTCAGCCAGCATGTATTCTGCAAGTATTCAAAAATGTGAAAAAATCCAAAATGTGAATCATTTCTGGTCTCAAGTATTTCAGATAAGAGATGCTCAACCTCTGTCTAGCTCATTAGAGGGTTGTGAAGATTAAATGAGTCAATACATGTAAAACACACTTAAACTGGTGTCTTGGGCCTTGTGCAGTGGCTCACGCCTGTAATCCCAGCACTTTGGGAGGCCGAGGTGGGCGGATCACCTGAGGTCAGGAGTTCGAGACCAGCCTGGCCAACATGGTGAAACCCCGTCTCTACTAAAAATACAAACATTATCTGGTCGTGGTGGTGCACGCCTGTAATCCCAGCTACTCAGGAGGCTGAGACAGGAGAATCGCTTGAACCTGGGAGGCAGAGGTTGCGGTGAGCCAAAATCGTGCCATTGCACTCCAGCATGAGTGACAGAGCGAGACTCCGTCTCAAAAAAAACCAACCAAACAAAAAAACTAGTGTCATGAAAATAGTAAGTGTCCAACCAGTGTCAGCTTCTGTTATGAATTATAAAATGCCTCTTAGTTTTTTTTAAATTAAGGGAAGGCATTTTGCTTGGTGCTTTATATCTGTTATCTTATGTAATTATATCAACTATGTGAAGTAGATATCACTGTTTCACACAGGAGAAAACAAGCTTTCAATTTATGTCTTCTAAAATGTAAGCCTCACAACAATTGCTTGAACCTGGAAGGCGGAGGTTGCAGTGAGCTGAAATTGTGCTACTGCATTCCAGCCTGGGCGACAGATCAAAGCCTCTAAAAATGTTTTATGGGTTGGGAATTGGGGGTGGGGGGATTAAAAAAAAGTTCTGTATTTTACAGAAACTGCTTATTTGCTTATTTAATTTATTTTGGGGAATTAAAGATTAAACATTTGCTTCAAGAATTTTACAAAATACACAGAATTTCAAGTCACTACAGGGTAAAAAAAAAAGCTGTGTAAGCATAAATTCTCAGTGAGCTATTAAGATGTTTAGTTAGAAGGCATCAGTAAGCATTTTATACATTGAGCTTTATTAGTTTTATTCTTTGGTTATTTATTTAGTTTTGAGACAAGGTCTCACTGTCACCCAGGATGGAGTGCGCTAGTATAATTGCAGTTCACTGCAGCCTCAACCTCCCAGGCTCAAGTGATCCTCCCACCTCAGCCTCCCAAGTAGCTGTGGCTATAGGCATATGCCACCACATCCAGCTAATTTTTTTGTATTTTTTTGTAGAGATAGGGTCTCATTTATGTTGCCCAGGCTGGTAACTCCTGAGCTCAAGCGATCCTCCTGCCTCAGCCTCCCAAAGTGCTGGGATTAGAGAAATAAGCCACTGTGCCTGGCCACATTGAGCTTTTATCTAGTCCTAGTCACTTTAATTGTTAAAATCTAAATACTGCCTGGGTGTGTGGTTCACTCCAGTGCTTTAGGAGTGTGAGGCAGGAGGATCACTTGAGCCCAGGAATTTGAGAGCAGCCTTGGCAACGTAGGGAGACTCCATCTCTACCAAAAAAAAAAAAACCCCACAAAATTAGCCAGGTGTTAGGCAAGCATCTGTAGTCCCAGCTACTTGGGAGGCTGAGGTGGGAGGACTGCTTGAGCTCAGGAGTTCAAGGCTGCAGTGAGCTATGATTGCGCCACTGCACTTTAGCCTGGATGACAGAGCAAAACCCCATCTCAAAAGTAGATAAATAAAAACTAAAAGCTATTGAGGGTAATGTGCTACAACTTTTTAATATTCCATCTACAAAATTACATAATTGGGGTGAGAATAATATTAAAGCACTTACAGTGAACGCAACAGTGGACTGTATATTTGCATATAGTACATCTGAAATTCTTTAATATTTATAAAAGTGGATCTGTGTGTTTATGTATACAGAAACAATGGAAAAACAAATATGCTATAAATGAAAGTCAGAGGCCACCAGATCGTTCAAAAATGACTATGAGAGACTTCATATATTATCTACCAGATAATAATCCAATGACGTAAGTAAAATTTATTTCTGCTTTACTATCTCTTTTTTTTTTTTTTTTTTTTTTGGAGGTGGAGTCTCGCTCTGTCACCCGGGCTGGAGTGCAGTGGTGCAATCTTGGCTCACTGCAACCTCTGCCTCCCAGGTTCAAGCGATTCTCCTGCCTCAGATTCGCGGGTAGCTGGGATTACAGATGCTCGCCACCACACCCGGCTAATTTTTGTATTTTTAGTAGAGACTGGGTTTCGCCATGTTGGCTTGCCTGGTTTTAAACTCCTTACCTCGGGTGATCCACCCGCTTCGGCTTTCCAAAGTGCTGAGATTACAGGCGTGAGCCACTGCACCTGGCCTTCTGTTTTACTTTATTTGGGTATGTAGTTATATAAATAGCACTTTTATAGTAAATTTTTTAGTTTTCCAAAAACATGTTGACAAAATTTGGAACACATATGTCCTTTTAAATAGAATTTCATAACAAAAAGTAGCAGTATTTCAAGTAACTGCTTTCTGGGGATGGTAGATTATGCCCTTTATTTCTGAGATTAAAAATAAATTTCCTGGCTGGGCACAGTGGCTCATGCCTGTAATCCCAGCACTTTAGGAGACCAAGGTGTGTGGGCCGCCTGAGTCCAGGAGTTTGAGACCAGCCCGGGCAACATGGTGAAACCCTGTCTCTACAAAAAGTACAAAAATTAGCCAGGCATGGTGGCATGTGCCTGTAGTTCCAGCTATTTGGGAGGCTGAGGCAGGAGGACTGCTTGAACCCTGGCATTTGAGGCTGCAGTGAACCATGTTCATGCCACTGCATTCTGGGTGCACTCAGGGTGACAGAGCGAGATCCTGTCTCAAAAAAAAAAATGTTTTTTCTTTGTTATATTAGTTACCAAGGCATAGTGAAACCAACTAAGCCACTTTTCTGTAATCAAGATTGCAATTTTGGCCAGGCGAGGTGGCTCATCCCTGTAATCACAGCATTTTAGGAGGCCAAGGCGAGAGAATTGCTTGAGCCCAGGAGTTTGAGACCAGCCTGGGCAATGTAGTGAGACCCCATCTCTACAAAAAATACAAAAATTACCTGGGCATTGTGGCGCACAGGAGGCTGAGGTGGGAGGATCACTTGAGCCTGGGAGTTCAAGGCAGCAGTGAGCCAAGATTGCACCACTGCACTCCAGCCTGGGAGACAGCGAGACTCTGTCTCATTTAAAAAAAAAATGTTTGAAAGGATTGGAATTTCTATTTTTAACATACTATAAACTGATCTAAAGGAGTGATCCAAGTTTTATGCCCTGCCTTCTAATAAAGACAGTAGTAGTGTGATTAATAAATCCTCCAAGAACAAAGCTTCTTTATTAAAGTTAGCCTGGGGTTTCTGAGGCAGGTTTATAATAAATCTCATTGTTGTATTGTTGATGGTTTAGCAGGTAGAGGTAGGAGTTGGGACAGTTCCTCAGCATAGCCCTTTTTCAGATTCACCAGGTCTTTGGCCCTGTTGAAGAAAGGGCCAGAAACCTAGGTTTTGAGTTGTTTAACATCCAGGAGTTGGAGACAAGTCACCTAAGTAAGCTGCTTCATGCCTTGGGATTGGGAGCCTCCTTTCACTGAGAAGTTAGAGGATAAGAACATTCTCTGTTGGGCGTGGTGGCTCATGCCTGTAATCTCAGTGTTTTGGGAAGCTAAGGTGGGAGGATTGCATGATCCCAGGAGTTTGAGACCAGCCTGGGCGATATGGTGAGACCTCGTCTCTACAAAAAATTAAAAGACAAAAATTAGCCTGGTGTGGTGGCATGCACCTGTAGTCCCAGCTACGTGGGAGGCTGAGGTGGGAGGATTGCTTGAGCTCAAGAAGTAGAGGTTACATGGAGCTGAGATCACAGCACTGCACTTCAGTCTGACACAGCAAGACCCTGTTGTTGTATTAAAAAAAAAAAAAAAGTATTCTTTACTTAGGACCTAACAAATTATTTGTATGTGATGACAAGCTTTTGACTGAAAAGTTGATTGTTGGATTGTACTGTCATTAACGAAATGCTGTGATATATCATTAAAAATTAGAAGTTAGAATAATTTTCTTCTTGCCTACAGATAGAATTGGGAAGATATAAATTAATAATTTATTAAAGATATTGTTATTTATGTTCAATAGTTCTTCACTGGAACAAGAAAAGAAAACTGAAAAGCCATCGACTCCAGTCCAGACAAGAGAGTAAGTATTTTATTTTTGAATATATTCTATTCCTACATTTTTTAAGAAATGAGATCAAATGGTGCTTCCTGTTATAGTTGAATTACATTTGATTGGGGTTGGGCACAGTGGTTCACTCCTGTAATCTCAGCACTTTGCGAAGCCAAGATGGGAGGATTGCCAGAAGCCAGGAGTTGAGACCAGCCTGGGCATCATAGTGACATTTTGTCTCTACAAAAAATGTAAAAATAAGCTGTGCATGGTGGTGTGTACATGTAGTCCTAGTTATTCAGGAGGCTGAGGTGGGAGGATCGCTCGAGCCCACATGTTCAAGGCTGTAGTGAACTATGATCACGCCACTGCATTCCAGCCTGGGTGACAGAGCAAGACTTTGTCTCTTAAAAAAAAATTACATTTGGTTGGGCTATTGTTTTTGTAATTTTAAAATTTTAATTTAATTTTTGAGACAGGATGTTGCTGTGTCACCTAGGCTGGAGTGCAGTGGTGTGAACATAGCTCACTGCAGCCTTGACCTCCTGGGCTCGTGATCCTCCTGCCTCAGCCTCCTGAGTAGCTGGGAGTACAGGTGTGTGCCACCACGGTTGGCTAAATTTTTTAGTTTTTTTTTTTTTTTTTTTTTTGAGATGGAGTCTTGCTCTGTCACCAGGCGGGAGTGCAGTGGTGCGATCTCGGCTCACTGCAGCCTCTGCCTCCCGGGTTCAAGCGATTCTGCTGCCTCAGCCTCCCGAGCAGCTGGGACTACGGGTGTGCGCCACCATGCCCAGCTAATTTTTGTATTTTTAGTAGAGACGGGGTTTTACCACGTTGGTCAGGATGGTCTCCATCTCTTGACCTCGTGATCGGCCCGCCTCGGCCTCCCAAAGTGCTGGGATTACAGGTGTAAGCCACCATGCCCAGCCTAAAGTTTTTAGTTTTTGAAGAGTTTTTTTTCATAGAGATAAGGTTTCACTATGTCGCCCAGGCTGGTGGTCTTGAACTTCTAAGCTCAAGTAATCCTCTCGCCTCAGCCTCCAAAAGTACTAGGATTACAGGCATGAGCTGCTGCATTTGGCCATTTTCCTTAAGGCTCAAATGAGCATGAAAATACTAACCCTGAAGGATTGTACTGAAAAGTTAATCAAATAATCTAGAAACTAATGCTATATAACTATAAGCATTATTATTATTATTATTATTTTTACAGATAGGGTCTTGCACTGTCACCTAGGCTGGGGTGCAGTGGTGTGATTAAACTCTTGGCCTCAAGAGATACTCCTGCCTCAGTCTCCTGAGTAGCTGGGACTATAGGCACGCATCACCATGCTGGGCTAATTTTTAAATTTTTTTTGTAGTGGTAAGGTCTTGCTATGTTGCCCAGGCTGATCTCAACTCCTGGCCTCGAGTGATTTTCCTGCCTTGGCCTCTGAAATTGCTAGGATTACAGGCCTGAACCACCATGTCCTGTCTGTTTCTCTTTATTTTAAAAGAGAGTAAAGACTGCTTGGGCCAGGCACGGTGGCTCACGCCTGTAATCCCGGCACTTTGGGAGGCTGAGGCGGGTGGATCACGAGGTCAGGAGTTTGAGACCAGCCTGGCCAACATCGTGAAAACCCGTCTCTACTAAAAATACAAAAATTAGCTAGGTGTGGAGGTGCGCGCCTGTAATCCCAGCTACTGGGGAGGCTGAGGCAGTAGAATGGTGTGAACCCAGGAGGCGGAGGTTGCAGTAAGTCGAGATCATGCCACTGCACTCCAGCCTGGGTGACAGGGCGAAACTCCATCTAAAAAAAAAAATAAGACTTCTTACTAAATGTCTCGAGATAAAACTTGAGAAAATCCTCTAATTGCGTCCTTAATAACACATACTGTTTTCATTTGGATTATAGGGAAAGTTGGAAATAGCTAGAAGGTTGAGTTTGTAATCATTTATTTTAAGTTTTATACTATTTAGGCACACTTTTCATGCCTTTGTGAATTAACTTATCTTTATATGTGGTAGGCAAGAAGGTAAGAGTACTCCTAATGCTGAAGATAATGAAATGGAAGAAGAGACAGATGATGGGCCATTACTGGTTCCTCGAGTAAAAGTGGCAGAAGATGGTTCCATTATTTTGGATGAAGAAAGGTATTTAGAAAAGAGAAAAAGTGAGATTGTGGTTACATGAGAACAAACATGCTTTGTCTAGTGAAAGAGGTCCTCTTTCTGTATTGGCCTTTGTCACTTAGACCTTGATGTTCTTATTTGCATAATGAATATTGTAAATAGAAAAGTGGGTTAGATTAATTTGTAAATTTTAGTAATTTTTATAACTATTTTGTATGAGAAGATGCCCTATCATCTATTAACCTAACACCATTGTTTTATTATCTTTACTGGTCATTGAGTCAGGCTGTTGAACTAATCATATGCTGTCTTCCACTGAGGATAAATTTCTAAGATTGACACAGTCTTGAAGTCAATATTCAAGTTCTCATATTATTAAGAGCATATCCTGGTGTGTGGTGATAACTAATGGATATACAGTGAAATGTAGGTTTAACATATTTTATGATTTTTGTTATGGTGAGGTATAATTCATCTTTTGGTTTAATTTCTCAGTTATAACATTAAATTTTGCACATTGGGCATTGTGGAATTTAGTTGTCTTAAGGGTTTTTTTTTAAAAGATGATAAATTAGTAAGTAAATAAATAAAGCAATGGAAGGTCTTTGAAAGTTTAGCCAGTGAAAAATAATTTTATAGCATTCACATTCTATAATTAAACATAAATGTAATACTGCTAATAATAGTTGTTTTTGTGTGCTATTTTCCATTAGTTTGTGATGATGATTTTACTGGTCATTAAATAGTTAGAGCATATTTAACTGCTTTCTCTGCAGGAATGTAAAATATAAAGTGCTTGTGTTTTTCAAAATTTCCATGGAGTCCAGCACAGTAATACATATTGAATATCAAAGACATGTGGAAGTCAATAATACAAATACCGTTTTATAATACGTAGCCCAAAGATATTTTGTAAATATTATACTGCTGTTATGGATTTTGAAAATGAGTTGACATTTCTTTCTACCCTCTTGGAATCACATTGTAGGTAAAACTTAGCAGATGCTTGGAAAATACCCATATTTCACATAAGTATTATTATGCCTTTGATATGATTGCCGTGCTAAACCTCAAAATATAACTATTTACATCTCATTTGCTATTTGTTTCCTTGTTTTTAGTATACATCTATTTAAAAATGTGTTTATTTCAGTTTAACTGTAGAAGTTTTAAGAACAAAAGGCCCTTGTGTTGTTGAAGAAAATGACCCCATATTTGAGCGCGGTTCTACAACTACATACTCCAGCTTTAGGAAAAACTATTACTCTAAACCATGGTCAAATAAAGGTAACTAATTTTCATTTAAAAATGTGTAAGTTCTCTATTTGAAATGAATTGACTGTTTCTGAATTAAATCAGTTCTCCCCTAAGTACATAAAATGCAAACTACCATTTTATTCCAGCTAATTTTATTGACACCTCTATCTTATGCCTTCCATGGAATGGTATCTCTGACTTTGTCTTACAAATCTTCAAAAAAATTTTATTTTTTATAGCAACTGGGTCTCAGCCAGGTGCAGTGGCTTACACCTGTAATCCCTGCACTTTGGGAGGTTGAGGCAGGAGGATCACTTGAGGCCAGGAGTTTGAGACCAACTTGGGCAACAAAGCAAGACCTCATCTCTACAAAAAAATTAAGAAAAAAAATTAGAAAGTAGAGATAGGGTCTTGATTGATTGCCGAGGCTGGAGTGCAGTGAAACTATCTTAGCTTACTGCAGCCTTGAACTCTTGGGCTCATGTGATCTTCCTGCCTCAGCCTCCCAGAGTAGCTGGCACTACAGGCGTGTGCCACCAAACCCAGCTAATTTTTTGAAAAAAATTTTTTTATTTTTTGAGACGGAGTTTCCCTCTTGTTGCCCAGGCTGAAGTACAATGGCACGATCTCGGCTCACTGCAACCTCTGCCTCCTGGGTTCAAGCGATTCTCCTGCCTCAGCTTCCCAAGTAGCTGGGATTACAGGCATCTGCCACCACCCCCAGCTAATTTTTGTATTTTTAGTAGAGATGGGGTTTTATCATGTTGGCCAGGCTGCTCTCAAACTCCTGACCTCAGGTGATCTGCTCACCTTGGCCTCCCAAAGTGCTGGGATTACAGGCATGAGCCACCGCACCTGGCCTGTGTTTTGGATTTTTTGAAGAAATAAGGTCTCAGTATGTTGCCCAGGCTGGTCTCCAATGCCTAGGCTCAAGCGATCCTTTGCCTCCCGAAGTGTTGAGATTATAGGCGTGAGTCGTTGTGCCCAGCCCAGAAATTTTTTTTTTTTTTTAATTTCTTTCAGTCACTGTTCTGCTGAAAGAAATATTTTTTAAGAATTACCTTTATAGTCGTTTTGGCTGGAATGTTCCTCTCTGTCAAATCTCTACAGTAAATACCATTTAAATAAAAATTAACAATACAATATTTCCTTTTTTTTTTTTTTTTTGAGATGGAGTTTCGCTCTTGTCGCCTAGGCTGGAGTGCGGTGGCGCGATCTCGGCTCACTGCAACCTCTGCTTCCTGGGTTCAAGCGATTCTCCTGCCTCAGCCTCCCGAGCAGCTGGGATTACAGGCGCCTGCCACCATGCCCAGCTAATTTTTGTGTTTTTGGTAGAGATGGGGTTTCACCATGTTGGCCAGGCTGGTCTCGAACTCCTGACCTCAGGTGATCCGCCTGCCTCAGCCTCCCAAAGTGCTGGGATTACACGCGTGAGCCACTGTGCCCAGCCAACAATACAACATTTCTAATGCGAATAATGTTCTACCTCAGATAATATTGTATAATAAAGCTTCTATAGATAAATACGCTGTTAAAAATCTGTTGCATGTTGGTGCTTATTGTTTTTATTTTAAAAACAGTAGTTTTGAGGAAAAATTCAAACAGCAGGATATAGAGTAAAAAGATTCTATACTTCCCTTCTTTCACTTCCCTATTCCTATTCTCCTGAAGTGTAACTTCTGTTAGTAGTTTCTTTTTTTGAGACCGAGTCTCACTCTGTCACCCAGGCTGGAGTGCAGTGGTGCGATCTTGGCTCACTGCAGCCGCCACCTCCTAGGTTCAGGTGATTCTCCTTCCTCAGTCTCCCGAGTAGCTGGGATTACAGGCATATGTCACCATGCCCAGCTAATTTTTGTGTTTTTAGTAGAGACGGGGTTTCACCATGTTGGCCAGGATGGTCTGGAACTCCTGACCTCAAGTGATCTGCCCGCCTCGGCCTCCCAAAGTGCTGGTATTTACAAGCGTGAGCCACCGTGCGTGGCCTCTTGTGTATTTTTCTAGCTACTTTCTTTATATACTACTTAGCACATCTTAGTTGCCTATGTAGTGTAACCCTATCCTGAGTATGACTCATAGCTTTCTTCAGAGCACTTTGAATAAGATCAGCTAGGCAGAATGAATGTTTTAAAAAAAAAATTCCAGATGCTTTTGTATGATTTCTTTTTCTTTTTTTTTGAGGTGGAGTCTCGCTCTTTCGCCCAGGCTGGAGTGCAGTGGCGCCATCTCAGCTCACTGTAACCTCCGCCTCCCGGGTTCAAGCTATTCTTCTGCCTCAGCCTCCCCAGTAGCTGGGATTACAGGTGCACGCCACCACGCCCAGCTCATTTTTTTTTTATTTTTAGCAGAGACAGGGTTTCACCATGTTGGCCCGGCTGGTCTCAAACTCTTTTTTTTTTTTTTTTTGAGATGGAATTTCACTTTTGTTGCCCAGGTTGGAGTGCAATGGCACGATCTCGGCTCACTGCAACCTCCGCTTCCCGGGTTCAAGCGATTCTCCTGCCTCAGCCTCCCACATAGCTGGGATTACAGGCATGTGCCACCATGCCCAGCTAATTTTGTATTTTTAGTAGAGACGGGGTTTCTCCATGTTGGTCAGGCTGGTCTCAAACTCCTGACCTTAGGTGACCCACCCGCCTCAGCCTCCCAAAGTGCTGGGATTACAGGCGTGAACCACCGCGACCGGCCCTGGTCTCTAACTCTTGTCCTCAAATGATCTGCCTGCCTTGGCCTCCCAAAGTTCTGGGATTATAGGTGTGAGCCACCATGCCCAGCCTACGATTTCTTATACTGAAAAGTTTTTATTTATAATAAGGTGTTTTTAGGTATTGCATGGGGATCTTTCTAGTAAAATTAAGTACTGTCAAATTCTGTAAGATTTCTTTTCTCTGAAATATTGATATAATTAATTTTCAATCATTCTAAATCTTTTATTTTCACAGAAACAGATATGTTTTTTTTAGCCATCAGCATGGTAGGAACTGACTTTTCTATGATCGGACAACTTTTTCCTCACAGAGCAAGGATAGAAATTAAGGTAAAGTAAACCCATCACATTTGTTGATTGGAAAGAGACCAAACATTACAAATGTTAGTAGTATTATTCGCTTACCTTTGGTTTAAATCTTAGTTCATCTTTTTTTTTTTTTTCATTGAGACAGAGTTTCACTTTGTTGCCCAGGCTGGAGTGCAGTGGCACAGTCTCGGCTCACTGCAACCTCTGCCTCCGGGTTCAAGCAATTCTCATGCCTCAGCATGTCACATAGCTGGTATTACAGGCACCTGCCACCACGCCCGGCTGATTTTTTTACTGTTTTAGTAGAGACGGGGTTTTACCATGTTGCCCAGGCTGCTGTCGAACTCTTGAGCTCAGGTTAATCCCCCCATCTTGGCCTCCCAAAGTGTTAGAATTACAGGCTAGAGCCACCGTGCCCAGCCCTTTTTTTTTTTTTAAACTGTTATGATGGTTTTGTTACATTTATCCCTCTTTATTGAAAAGTAATATTTATCAGTTCTGATATGGGTATAATCTTCTTTATGTTAGTTTCATATTTTCTTATATCTTCTTCATTTCTAAAATGAATTTGAGGCAGTACCAATAAAAATGCACTGCAACTAAGATATAAGAAGAGTTACATAATGAAAAGAGAAGATAAATGTACCAGAGTACTTTGGTTAAGGGTAGCTTTTTTTTTTTTTTTTTTTTTTGAGATGGAGTCTCACTCTGTTGCCCAGGCTGGAGTGCAGTGGTGCGATATCGGCTCACTGCAACCTCTGCCTCCTAAATTCAAGTGATTCTCCTGCCTCAGCCTCCCTAGTAGCTAGGATTACAGGCGTACACCACCACGCCCAGCTAATTTTTTATTTTTCGTAGAGAGGGGGTTTTACCATGTTCGTCAGCCTGGTCTTGAACTCTTGACCTCTGGTGATTCACCCACCTTGGCCTCCCACCAAGTGCTGGAATTACAGGCGTGAGCCATCATGCCCGGCTGAGGGTAGCTTTTTCAATGCAAAATGTATTTCAGAATTTCCTAGGAAAGCTTAAAGAGAAGAAATCTGAGTTTACACAGTTCTCATTTTCTGATCCGTTGCTTTCCTAGGCCCCCTTAACTTTGGGACAACCAGTGGCACTAATAACAACAGTGATGTCAGTTACAGCTATTATATGCCCAAGAGGATGAGCTTTCTCTGTTTTTTAGTTTCTTTGCTTGAGAAACTTTATACAAGTTTTCTGGGTTTAAGTGCATTTGAGTGTCATCACACTATGTTGCCATAATGCATTCTCAATTGATAGTGAGATCTTTACTCAACCATGGGCTTTTTACTTCATTTCTCATCCCTATCATGTTCATTACATTAATAAAAGGAACCATTAGGAAGGTATGTTTTTTCCACTAGAACTAAATTAGGCATGGATTGTCTGGGGACATTACATAAGGGGCATTGTACAGTGTAATGAAATAGTCTTGTTATTTCTGCAAGAGATGAGGAACTTTATATTCTTCATGTTCATTTTCTAATGTTGATCTTTGATAAAAGAACAAAATGTTAAAATTCTGTGAAGGCTAGAAATTGATTTTCTGGAATTGGAGTGCTCTGCTGATCTGTGTAATTAATTATAAATTTGTCACTGGGCTATTTGTCTCAAAAATCATGTATATTCTTTTCCTGAAAGGTTACTATGGCTCTAGCAGGTCGTTGGGTAAAGTGTAGAAAAGTGAGAGTAGGCTGGGCATGGTGGCTCACGCCTGTAATCCCAGCACTTTGGGAGGCCAAGGCAGGTGGATCACCTGAGGTCAGGAGTTCAAGACCAGCCAGGCCAACATGGTGAAACCCCGTCTCTACTAAAAATACAAAAATTAGCCGGACGTGGTGGCGCATGCCTGTAATCCCAGCTACTCGGGAGGCTGAGGAAGGAGAATCGCCTGAACCCGGGAGGTGGAGGTTGCAGTGAGCTGAGATTGTACCACTGCACTCCAGTCTGTGCAATGGGAGTGAGACTCCATCTCAAAAATGAGAATAGACTGTATTTAAAGCTACTGAATTACATTACCTTGATTTTCAAATATTGGACTAATGTATTCCTGTATAACTTCCATTTGGTCATAGTGTATTCTTTTTCTGTGTTGCTCTATTTTGCTACATTTTCTTGAGGATTTTTTTGCTACTTTGTTCATAAGGGATACTGATTTGTAATTTTCTTTTACAAAGTCTGTCCTATTTTGATATGAGGCTTATACTGGTTACAGAAATTGAGCTGAAAAGTGTTCCCTCTTCTATTTTCTGAAATAATTTGTTGAAGATCAGTATTATTCTGTCTTTAATATTTGATAGAATTTACCTGTGAAACTATATGATCCTGTAGTTTTCTTTGGAGGAAGAGTTTATTTTATAAATATACTCTTTCATTGATAATTTGTATTTTCTCTCTCTCTTTTTTTTTTTTTTTTTTTTTTTGGAGACAGGGTCTCACTCTGTCACCCAAGCTGGAGTGCAGTGGTGCTATCATGGCTCACCTCCTGGGCTTGAGTGATCCTCCCACCTCAGCCTCCTGAGTAGTTGGGACTACGGGCACGTGCCACAATGCCCGGCTAATTTTTCGTATTTTTTTGTAGAGACTGGCTTTTGCCATGTTGCTCAGGCTGGTCTGGGACTCCTGTGCCCGAGTGATCTGCCTGCTTTGGCCTCCCAAAGTTCTGGAATGACAGGTGTGAGCCACTTGTCCTAGCCTCTTTTTTTCTTAATTCATCTTGCTAAGTGTTTATTAATCTAAACATCTTTTTAATGAACCAACTTTTCTTAATGTAATTTTTTTTTTTTTTTTTTTTTTTGAGATGGAGTCTTGTTCTGTAGCCCAGGCTGGAGTGCAGTGGTGACATCTGGGCTCACTGCAAGCTCCGCCTCCTGGGTTCATGCCCTTCTCCTGCCTCAGCCTCCCGAGTAGCTGGGACTACAGGCACCCGCCACCACGCCCAGCTAATTTTTTGTATTTTTAGTTGAGACGGAGTTTCACTGTGTTAGCCAGGATGATCCTATCTCCTGACCTTGTGATCCGCCTGCCTCGGCCTCCCAAAGTGCTGGAATTATGGGCGTGAGCCACTGCGCCTGGCTTCTTAATGTAAGTTTTAGGTTTCCAATTGTTGGTGTGTTTTTATTGATTTTTTTTTGTTACTGTTTAGCACTTCCTTCCATTTACTTTGTGTTTGTTTTTCTAGCTTCTTTATTTATTTATTATACTTTAAGTTTTAGGGTACATGTGCACAACGTGCAGATTTGTTACATATATGTACATGTGCCATGTTGGTGTGCTGCACCCATTGACTCGTCATTTAACATTAGGTATATCTCCTAATGCTATCCCTCCGCCCTCCCACCACCCCACAACAGGCCCCGGTGTGTGATGTTCCCCTTCCTGTGTCCATGTGTTCTCATTGTTCAATTCCCTTTTCTAGCTTCTTAAGATGAAAACTTAGAGCACTGATTTTAAAGCCTTCTTTTTTAAAGTAGACATTTAAAGCTATACATTTCCTTTTTTTTGACACAGAGTCTTGCTCTGTCGCCCAGGCTGGAGTGCAGTGGCGGATCTCGGCTCACTGCAAGCTCCGCCTCCCGGGTTCACGCCATTCTCCTGCCTCAGCCTCCCGAGTAGCTGGGACTACAGGCGCCCACCACCATGCCCAGCTAATTTTTTTGTATTTTTAGTAGAGATGGGGTTTCACCATGTTAGCCAGGGTGGTCTCGATCTCCTGACCTCGTGATCCTCCTGCCTCAGCCTCCCAAAGTGCTAAGATTACAGGCATGAGCCACCGTGCCTGGCCTGTACATTTCCTTTTAAGCATCACTAGAGCTGTGTCCCACAAATTTTGATTTTTTTTTTTTTTGAGACAGTCTTGCTCTGTTGTCCAGGCTGGAGTGCAATGGCATGATCTTGGCTGACTGCAAACTCCACCTCCCAGGCTCAAGCAATCCCCTGCCTTAGCCTCCCAAGAAGTTGGGACTATAGGTGCACACCACTAACACCACTATGCCCAGCTAATTTTTGTATTTTTTTGTACAGATGAGTTTTCATCAGGTTGCTCAGGTGGGTCTCTGACTCCTGAGGTTGGCCAGGCGTGGTGACTCACGCCTGTAATCCTAGCACTTTAGGAGGCTGAGGGGGGTGGGTCACTTGAGGTGTGGAGTCCAAGACCAGCCTGGCCAACATGATGAAACCCCGATCCTATTAAAATACAAAAATTAGCCAGGTGTGGTGGCAGGCACTTGTAGTCCTAGCTACTCGGGAGGCTAAGGCAAGAGAATTGCTTGAACCCGGGAGGGAGAGGTTGCAGTGAACCGAAATTGCATCACTGCACTCCAGCGTAGGCAACAGAGCAAGACTCTGTCTGAAAAAAAAAAAAAATATGATCCACCCTCCTTGGCCTCCCAAAGTGCTGGGATTACAGGCGTGAGCCACCATGCCTGGCCCCCAGTATAAAATTTTAAGAATTATTAATTATTACTGATTAAGGTTATTAAATGCATAACACTAATTACTTGCCAGCTATTGGTAGTCTTTTTCTTCTCTAGTTCATCCAGGGAACTCTTAAATTACATCTTCAGCAGAATAATTCTTAAATGTACTTTATTTTAATTTTTTTTTTGAGACAGAGCCTCGCTCTGTTACACAGTGTGGAGTACATGGGCATGATTACGGCTCACTGCAGCCTCTGTCCTGGCTCACTGCAGCCTCTTACCTGCTGGGCTCAAATGATCCTCCCACCTCGGCTTCCTAGGTAGCTGGGACTACAGGCACATGCCACTATGCCCAGCTAATTAAAAAAATTTTTTTGTAGAGACTAAGTCTCACTGTGTTGCCCAGGTTGGTTTCGAACTCCTTGACTCAAGTGATCCTCTTGCCTTGCCCTCCCAAAGTGTTGGGATTACAGGCATGAGCCACTGTGCCTGGCCCTTCAGTGCACTTCATAAGCAAAATGGGAGCTTTTGTTTATGTACTTTTTTTGTATTTTGCTGTTCCTAATTTTATTCTGAAGCTCAGTTTTACTCCAGGCCATAAATAACGTATTAACTTTGTAATGCACAGTTGTTTCCAGTTCAGCAAAGCAGTAGTTCATTATCAGGCTGTATTCACCCAGAGGTTAGGAAAACCAGGATTGGTCACACCTTTTAAAACAAATCTATCTCATGTTATTTTTCAATGTGTAGTTTCAGCCTAAATTCTGACAATGAAATTGTATGAATTCCTATCTGTGAGATGAGATATCTTGATTTTCAAAAGTAGCCAAAGGGAGTTCCTCGCAGCTTACCTTTGCTCGGCTGAAGCTGAAAACTTTGTAACTTCATATTGCCAGTGATTTTCCCTTTGCCTTGAAAGAAGGAGAACTGAGGATTCATTTTACCACTTCAATCACTAAAGCCAGTAAATCCTAGTCAGTCTTTGTGATTGTGTGGTCAGCTTTCTCATCTGAGTTAGAGTTAGAAAGCACTGATCCTTTGTGTTCTTTACCTCCACCACTAGGTGGCTTCTTTACCCCCTAGGCCATTCATTCTTCACCTTAAAGGCAAAAATACCACGGATTTTCTTCACAATCTGTCCACTTTCCTCTTCAGGCTTCCTCTAAATCTCTTTAAACACAAGATTTGCCTTAAATCCATTCCCTGTAAAGCTGGTTGGAGCAGCCTAATTTGATGAGTTCTAAAAGAACTGGCAGCTTTGAGAAAACACATCTTGTGAAGTGTTAAAACCCCAGCTTCTCTAAGGCCTAAATTATGCTGCACGCCAACCTTTGCATCAGGAGCTTGCCTCTTTCTAGCTTCCTTTCTCAGCTGCTAGCAAAGTTCAGCACACTGAACCAGCTGTTTATTGGTTTATTATAAAGGATATTATAAGGGATACAGATGAAGAGATTCATAGAGTACGGTCTGGAAGGGTCTTGAATGCAGGCACTTCTGCTGGAGGAGTTGGGGTGCACTGACCTCCCAGCACGTGGTTGCATTCACCAACCACGAAGCTCCTGAAAATCTCAGCCTTTTATTTGTTTGTTTTTTCCATAGCCCCAAATAACATGGCCAGCTTTGACTTTTTTTTCCCTTTTTTTTTTAGACAGAGTCTCGCTCTGTCATCCAGGCTGGAGTGCAGTGGCACGATCTCAGTTCACTGCATCCTCTGCTTTCCAGGTTCAAGCCCTTCTCCTGCTTCAGCCTCCTGAGTAGCTTGGAATTACAGGCGCGTGCCACCACGCCCAGCTAATTTTCTTTTTTTTGAGATGGAGTCTCGCTCTGTCACCCAGGCTGGAGTGCAGTGGCGCGGTCTAGGCTCACTGCAAGCTCCGCCTCCCGGGTTCACACCATTCTCCTGCCTCAGCCTTCCGAGTAGCTGGGACTACAGGCGCCCGCCACCACGCCTGGCTAATTTTTCGTATTTTTAGTAGAGACGGGGTTTCACCCTGTTAGCCAGGATGGTCTTGATCTCTTGACCTCGTGATCTGCCCACCTCGGCCTCCCAAAGTGCTGGGAATTACAGGCGTGAGCCATCGTGCCCGGCCCCCCCACCTTTTTTTTTTTTTAAGTAGAGATGGGGTTTTGCTATGTTGGCCAGGCTCGTCTCAAACTTCCTTACTTCAAGTGGTCTGCCTACCTCAGCCTCCCAAAGTGCGGGGATTATAGGCATGAGCCACCGAGCCCAGCCTCTTTTTCCTTTCCTTTTCTTTTTTTTTCTTTCGAGACAGGGTCTTTGTTGCTCGGGCTGGAGTGCAGCGGTGCAACCATAGCTCACTGCCGCCATGACCTCCTGGGCTCAAGCAATCCTCCTGCCTCAGCCTCCTGGACCACAGGTGTGCGCTACTGTGCTTGACTAAATTTTTTATTTTTTGTAGAGAAGAGGTCTTACTGTGTTGCCTAGGCTTGTCTCAAATTCCTAGGCTCAAGCAATCCTCCTGCTTCAGCCTCTCAAAGTGCTGGCGTTACAGGCATGAGACACTGCACTTAGCCCTATATATTTTTAAATTCACCTTACAGTGAACTTATTTTATAATAGTTTAATGAGGCAGCTGGTCCAAGTGCACTGGTGTTTACAACTAAATGATCACAACTGATTACAGATTTCTTTTTTAATATTAAAAATTTTTTTTAAACACCAGCTGACCCATGTTCAGACAAATTTTTTCTTTTTTTTTTCTTTTTTTTTTTTGATATAGGGTCTCACTCTCTGTTGCCCAGGCTGGAGTGCAGTAGTGTGATTGTGGCTACCTGCAGCTTCAGCCTCTTGAGCTCAAGTAATCCTTCCATCTCAGCATCCCAAGTGCCCAACTACAGGCATGTGTCACTATGCCCACCTAATTTTTCTATTTTTTTGTAGAGATGGGGTTTTGCCATGTCGCCCAGGCTGGTCTCAAACTCCTGGGCTCAAGCAATCTGCCGCCTCAGCCTCCCAGAGTGCAGGGATTGCAGGCTGAGCCACCATACCTGGCCCAGATAAATTTCTTTTATCCTACTCTACTGGCCTTAAAAACAAAAATAAACAGCCGGGTGTGGTGATTCACGCCTGTAATCCGAGCACTTTGGGAGGCCGAGGCAGGCGGATCACCTGAGGTTGGGAGTTCGAGACCAGGCTGACCAACATGGAGGAACCCTGTCTCTACTAAAAATACAAAATTAGCCAGGCGTGGTGGCACATGCCTGTAATCCCAGCTACTCGGGAGGCTGAGGCAGGAGAGTCGCTTGAACCCGGGAGGTGGAGGTTGCGATGGCCAAAATCATGCCATTGGACTCTAGCCTGGGTAACAAGAGCAAAACTCTGTCTCAAAAACAAAAACTAAAACAAGCAAACAAAAAAACAGCTCTCTCTCTCTACATATAGATATATATGAGTCTTTTGTCTTTTAAGGAAATCAAGTAGAAAAAAGCTAGTTTTTAGCATTTAACTATTTATTTACCATTTTTGGTGTTTTCATTTCTTCCTGTAGGTCCAAATGACAGGTCTACTGTTGAAAAATTTTCTGAGCTTTCATTTATCTGAATGTTTTTATTTCAGCCTTTCAGCCTTGTTTTTGAATGATATATTTTGCCAGTTTGACAGTTTTTTCTTTTTGGTCTTTTAAAGATGTCATTGTATCGTCTCCTGGCTTTCAGTGTTGCTGATGAAAAGTCGACAGTAATCATATCGTTCTTGCCTCATATATGATTAATTATATTTCTCTGGCTGTTTTCAGGATTTTTTTTTTTTAATTTTAGTATTCAGCTGTATGACGATGATATGCCTAGCTTTAGTTTTGAGTTTGCTCAGCTTCTTGCATCTTTTACTGTATTAGGGAAATTTTAAATTACTTTTAATAGTTTCTCTGTTTAATCCTCTCGTTCTGGAACTCCACCAACATAGTTTACCCCATGTGACATTCTACAGGTTACCAAAGCTCTGACCACCTTTTTCCAATCTTTTTTCCTCCATTTCAGTTTTGATAGTTTCTATTGTCATAGCGTCAAGTTCACTGACTCTGTCTTTTGTCTTCAATCTGCTGTTAAACCCATTTAGTGAATATTTTATTTCTGATACTGTATTTCTTATTTCTGTAATTTTCACCTGGTTTTTATTTTATTTTATTTTATTTTATTTTTGAGATGGAGTCTCGCTCTGTTGCCCAGGCTGGAGTGCAGTGGTGCGATCTCGGCTCACTGCAAGCTCTGCCTCCCAGGTTTACGCCATTCTCCTGCCTCAGCCTCCCGAGTAGCTGGGACCACAGGTGCCCGTCATGCGCCCGGCTAATTTTTTGTATTTTTAGTAGAGACGGGGTTTCACTATGTTAGCCAGGATGGTCTTGATCTCCTGACCTAGTGATCCGCCTGCCTCAGCCTCCCAAAGTGCTGGGATTACAGGTGTGAGCCACTGCACCTGGCCTCCTCCTGGTTATTTTTTATAGTTTCCATTTCTCTGCTGAGATTTCCCCATCTCTTCACTATACTTTCCTCTGAATCGTGAAACATCTCTATAATGAATGGCTCCTTTAACTTTTTTGTTTGTTTATTCTAATATCTAGATCATATTGGAATCTGTTTCTTTTTTTCTTTTTTTTCTGAGTCTGCTTGCCAGGGAATGGGATCTTTTTCTTTTTCTTTTTTTTTGAGGCGGAGTCTCGCTCTTTTGCCCAGGCCAGAGTGCAGTGGCGCAATCTTGGCTCACTGCAAGCTCCGCCTCCCGGGTTCACGCCATTCTCCTGCCTCAGCCTCCCAAGTAGCTGGGACAACAGGCGCCCACCACCACGCCCGGCTAATTTTTTGTATTTTTAGTAGAGACGGGGTTTCACTGTGTTAGCCAGGATGGTCTCGATCTCCTGACCTCGTGATCTGCCTGCCTCGGCCTCCCAAAGTACTGGGATTACAGGCGTGAGCCACCGTGCCCAGGCTTGACTTTTTCTTTTCTTTTCCTATCACATTTTCCTATCTTTTCTCATGGCATGTGGGTTTTAAAAAATAATTAATTTTTTGGTCTGTCACGGGTTTTTTTGTTTGTTTTTGTTTGAGACAGAGTCTTGCTATGTCACCCAGTCTAGAGTATAGTGGCGTGATCTTGGCTCACTGCAACCTCCGCCTCCCAGGTTCAATCGATTCTCCTTCCTCAGCCTCCTGAGTAGCTGGGACTACAGGTGCGCACCACCATGCCTGGCTAATTTTTTTTTTTTTATTTTGAGACGGAGTCTCACTCTCTCGCCAGGCTGGAGTGCAGTGGTGCTGTCTCAACTCACTGCAACCTCTGTCTCCTGGGTTCAGGTGATTCTCCTGCCTCAGCTTCCCAAGTAGCTGGGACTACAGGCGCGCACCACCATGCCCAGCTAATTTTTTTTTTTTTTTTGTATTTTTAGTAGAGACAGGGTTTCACCATGTTGGCCAGGATGGTCTCAATCTCTTGACCTTGTGATCCACCCGCCTTGGCCTCCCAAAGTGCTGGGATTACAGACGTGAGCCACCGTGCCCAGCCTAATTTTTATATTTTTAGTAGAGGTGGGGTTTCATCACGTTGGCCAGGCTGGTCTCGAACTCCTGACCTCAAGTGATCCACCTATCTTGGCCTCCCAAAGGGCTGGGATTATAGGCGTGAGCCACTGTGCCCGGCCATTTTTTTTTTTTTGAGATGGAATCTCACTCTGTTGCCCAGGCTGGAGTTCAGTAGCATGATCTCAGCTCACTGCAACCTCTGCTTCCTGGGTTCAGGTGATTCTTCTGCCTCAGCCTCCCAAGTTGGGATTACAGGTGCATGCCACCATGCCTGGCTAATTTTTGTATTTTTAGCAGAGATGTGGTTTCACCATGTTGGCTAGGCTGGTCTCGAACTCCTGACCTCAAGTGATCCACTCACCTCAGCCTCCCACAGTGCTAGGATTATAAGAAGTGAACCACCATGCCCGGCCAACCGTGAGTTTTTTTGAAATTGCATACTAGGCCAGGCGTAGTGGCTCATGCCTGTAGTCCCAACACTTTGGGAGGCCAAGGCGGGTGGATCACGAGGTCAGGAGATAAAGACCATCCTGGCTAACACAGAAACCCTGTCTCTACTAAAAATGTGAAAAATTAGCCAGGCGTGGTGGCGTGCGCCTGTAGTCCCAGCTACTTGGGAGGCTGAGGCAGGAGAATGGCATGAACCCGGGATGCAGAGGTTGCAGTGAGCTGAGATCGCGCCACTGCGCTCCAGCCTGTGAGACAGAGCAAGATTCCGTCTCAAAAAAAAAAAATGAAATCACATACCAGACATTGTGAATGATGTGTTGTAGAGTGTCTGGATTATGTTTTTTCTTTTTTTTTTTAAAGCGCAGTGGGCCAGGCGCGGTGGTTCACACCTCTAATCCTAGTATTTTGGGAGGCTGAGACGGGAGGATTGCTTGAGCCCAGAAGTTCAAACCCAGACTGAGCAACATGGCAAGATCCCATCTCTACAAAGAAAAAAAAAAAAAAAAAAAAAAAGCCAGGCTTGGTGGCACATGTCCCCTAGCAATTCAGGAGGCTGAGGCAGGAGGATTGCTTGAGCCTGGGAGATCAAGGCTGCAGTGAGCTGTGATCACAGCACTGCATTCCAGTCTGGAAGACATCAAGACTCTGTTTCAATAAACAAAACAGAATAAAAAATAGTGTTGACTTTTGTTCTGGAAAACTGTTAATGTACTGCCAACTTCTTTGTTCCTGTTAAGGCTTGTCTTAAAGCTTTGTTGAGGCAGATCTAGACTGGTCTTTAATCTAGGACATCCTTTCTCCAATGGGATTTCTCATCTGATTTACAGAAAATAATTTGAATTACTATTATATTTTATTATTTTCTTCTTTTCCCAGAACAGTCTCATGGTAGGCATGAGTTATTATTTTCTAAGTTCTCTAAGGATGGTTATACTAATACTATACTATTAATAGATAAGTGAGAGAAGGGAATGCATTGCATACAGTGGCTGCTTTAATGCATTAGTACTTAATTCTCATGCTACATCCCTGGTAGAGAAAGGCTACTCTAGGGTATCGTTTTTATCTCTAATGGTGATCTTTCTGGTGTCTGAGGTGAATGTATTTGGGTATTAATGAGGTCTTTCCATTAGGATGCACCTGAACTCTATTGTCATATGGTGTTTTATGACTTTTAGCATCTTCCTTCTGCCTTCATGGCTTTAGCAGCTGTTCTCTTTTAAGCCTTATATTCTGGACATATGCAACCCATACTTAGGCCAAGGTATCATGGGGTATTTCCACCAGGCCTGTGAGGTACCCCTCTACACAGTTCCTTTTTAGAACTATGCTCCTAAAGATTCCCTACCTCTGCAGCCTAGTTGGATTGCTGTACCCTGTTTGGCCTTCACCTCCCTTTCCTTGGTTAGGAAATTGAGCCCAGGCAGAGAGCCAAGGTAAACATGGGCACATCTTGTCTGTTTTCCTTCTCTCCGTGATTGTAGTCTTGCTCTCACTATTGTCCTTTGCTTGAAAATAATTGATGCATATATTTTGTCAGTGTTAAAAGTCATTCGTGGTGGAGTTGGATATGTAGGACCTGTCCATAATGAGTTACTTTGCCAAGGCCAGAAGTGGAAATTATGGGATTTATTTTGTGATCATGGAATTTGGCCTGTTACTGGTTCTTACCTATGAAATCATTGACTAGTTTCAATATATTTCTTTGAGAAAGTTTTAAATTGTTCTGAGTTATATTACCAATTAAGTAAAATATGAGGTAGCACTGTTTTAGAATTAAATGCCTGAAGCCTATTGATATTTCTTTTAGGACATTTAATTTAGTGTTTATAGCCAATCATTTTTTGTGGAGGTAACATTTGTTAACTTTTGAGGAAATGTTTAAATAACAGTATGATCTTTTAAGGCAGAAATAAGATTATCTTTGAAAACTTCTGTATTGATAATAAGTTTTGTGAAGAAAAACAAAAGAATGGGAAAGAAGGGCAACCTGTACATTAAAAGATGTTAATGTCATATCAGGTTTTAAAAATATGGGCAAGGCTAAACTGTATCATCTAAGAATACACACTTGGGTCATAAACAATAAGGAAATACAAGAAAGTGATTGCTTTACAAGTCATATTAGTGGTTAAGTTCTTTTGAAGGGAGGAAGGGGGCATGAAGTACTTCCTTTGTTTTATGTGATATTCTCTCTCTCTTTTTTGCAATTAAAAAGCTTTATTTTTGTGCTTTTAATAAAAACTTGTAGATCACTGACGTGTAGATGGGAAACATTGGCTGTTTGTTTCCTCTCCTACGATGTGTCTGCGTGATCAGACGTCTTCAGACACAAACTTATGCCCTCAGTCTTCCTAATGACTTTAGGATGGATTGAGCCTTAAGCCTTAAACATCTCCCTCTTAATGGAAGTAATCTGGTAGTAAACTGAGGACAGGGATTTTTGGGGCTGAGAAAAATGTGAGGAAATGTGCCTTAATATATAGAAGTTTGTCAGGATAAACTTGGCCTGCTTCAAAATTTCACTTAGTTGTTTCTCTATAGTCTTCTCTCCATGCTACTTGAAATATATTAGAACAATGATGTCAGAGGTTTAACCTGTTACGAATACTTAATTTTTTAAAAGTTAATACCAGTGAGCTTAGTCATAGGTTTGATCTGCTTTCATGTTTGTTGACTTTATTTTTTTCTGTCCTCTGTAAATCCAGCTTCCATTGCTGATTCATGCTATTGGTAATGAGAATCAAGAAGCTCAGTAAAAATCTTTCATCCTTATTTTTAAAAAGCCGAAGGTTTAAGTAACTTGCCTATTGGCAAAGACATATTAAGTAGAGAGCAGTATGTTATTCCTAAGAGTTTCATTTTAATGCTTACTGCATTTAAAAAAAAATGCTTGTTTTATGAGAGAAAATTACCATAGGGTTTTTTGTTGTTAACAGAATAAATTTAAACGGGAAGAGAAAACAAATGGATGGAGAATAGACAAAGCATTCCGTAAGTATTAAGACCTCTTTTACAAAGTATTACTTGAAGAGCCTAAAAAATGACCAGTCTTTTGTCTTTGGCTTTAGTGTGTTTTAGATTTGTTTTGTTCCTGTATTGGCATTAAGAGGAAGCAGTCTGAAATTTTTCTGTTTAGCAGTATGGGTCTGGCACTTGCTACAAATATATTGGCAGGAGATTATCCAGAACATCTAGGTGCAGGTAAACAGTTCTAAGTCCAAGAAGTTATGGAGGGATTGATGCTACCACTTCTAAGTGTTATTTATTCTGAAGGAACTGTATGGGAGGAGATCATTGTTTCTGGAAGACAGTACTATTAGTTATATAGATGGTTCTTTCTGGTTCTGAATGACTAATCAGTCATTCAGTCAATAACACTGACCACCTACTATATGGTAGTCATTGTTCTAGGTATTGAGCATGTAATGGTGGAAGATAAATGGCAGATGAGAATCCTGCATTTAGAACCTTAAGTCTGATTGGATGGGGGAAGAAATATAGTTGATAAGCATAATTTTAGGTAGTGATTCATTTCCAAAAAGAAGAAAAAAGAGAGGGTGGATGTTTAGGTCTCTTTTTTCCTAATGATCATTGGATCATTAGGGAAGTTCTGTCTGAAGAGATACACTAGCATTTGAATTTAGATCTCATCTGAAGGAATGATAGATATCTTGCAATTTCTAACTAAAATCCTCATTAAAATTAACATATTTTTCTTCAAGTCTAGAGAAAGATATCAAAGGATCTATAAAGAAAAATACATTTACTGTTAAAAATAGTTCTTGTATTTTTTGATTACAAGATAGGTCTTTTTTTCACCACAGCTGTGGACAGGAATATATTTTTTGTGGATTTATAATTATCAGTATTTTATGATTAATAAATGTATTCAATGTCTATTTAGTCGTAAGATTAGCCATAGTGCTAATTTTAGAAAAAAAAAATCCAAATGTAGAGAGTACCTACATTATGTAGCATGTATATTTATTTTATGAGTAGACACTAAGGTAGGTGGGTGGATCCTACACCCAGTGTTTTATCGGGTCTTTAGGGAAACTGCTTTGAGGAATGGCTCTTAGAAGATCTGGAATATTGTGCTCCTCAGCCCATTCCATATTAGAGAAGTGGTCCTGAAACTTCATTAAGTGTAACACATTATAGTCAGAAAATAATTCGTAAATCTATAAACAGTCTATTTGGATTGTGAAGCATTTTTATAGACTATTATAATAGATATTTTTAAAATTTATTGATCTTAAACAGGATACAGTGTTGTATGCCTATAGGCCCAGCTACTCTCAGGAGTCGCTGAGGCAGGAGGATCTTTTCAGCCGAAGAATTCGAGGCCAGCCTGGGCAACACAGCAAGATCCTATCTCAAAACTAGAAACAACTCATTGATTTGGAGGCTTTCTATTGGAAATTTTTTTTTTAAATTAAAACCTATATAAGTTTTTTGAGAGAACTTATGTTTTGAATTTCTCTGAGAACCATGTGGAGATCCTTTATGATTCTTTGAGTGCTATGTCTTTCAGAATCATTGTGGAGAGTCAGAACAAATGAAGTCTGGGTCAACAGTGAAATAGGGTCTTCAGGAATCCCAGATTTGGGTTTAGTTTCCAGAGATTCTTTTTATTTTAGTATATACCTTCTTTTCTGAGGCTATCTTGTAATCAAACCAGTCTTCGGCTTATGTGCATAGAGCACCATTTTCTCTACATTGACTTTAAGTTCAAGCAAGGATTTGCCTCCTGGTCTGGATTCATTCCTGGAGTGTTCACTGATTACTTTCAGATATAATGCTGTTGATAGGTATTTAGTGGGCATGTTCCTGATTAAATTCATTTACTTCCCACTTTGCTGATACTTATAAGAGTAAATGGTGAAATGGTTGTGATAAAGGTAGGGCATATGGTGGTGAACAGGCATTTCAAGGACTTCTCAGTCCATAAAAAAATTGATTTATATTTATACACAGCTCAAAGTGTAGTTCAAGTTTTGACAAAGAATATGCCTGTGTAACCACTACCCCAAACAATAGAGGAAATGTTTTCATCACTTCACAAGGTCTATTATGTCCCTTTCTGAACAATCAAATGCTGTCCTCCTGGCCCAAGGCAACCACTATTTTCATTTTAATCACCATAGATAGCTTAGTGTGTTCTAGAATATCTTATACATGGTATCATATAGTATGTACCCTAGTATCTGTTTTCTTCCACTCAGTATGTTTTTGAGATTCCCTCATATTATTGCATGTATCAGTAGTTTGTTCCTTTTGTTTTGTTTAAAACTAGTTTATTTGCAATAAACAAATTATTACAAATTTGTAATAAATTATTATTTGTAATAAACTAGTTTATTTGTTTCGTTGCTGAGTGGTGTTCTGATGTGAACTAATCTATTTCCCTGCTAAGACCAACCTATTCTGTTGCTGAGTGGTGTTCTGTTGTGTATTTGTTTTTCTGTTCTCCTACTGATAAACAAACCCATTTGCTTTTGATGTTATGATACTTTAAAAGCTAGAAGTAGCTTTTAAAAATAAAAACTTGAAAGTTCTTTTCCTTTTCTTTAAACAGAGGAAAAGCGCCCTTTTGACTTCGATTTTTTTGCTCATTTGCTTCAGAAAGTTCTTGCTGAAGAAGAGAAAAGAAAACAAAAATCTGTTAAAAATCACAGTTTAAAGGAGAAGAAATCCACCAAACCACGGAAAAATGTAAAAGGTATTGATTTTAAAAGGAAGTGTGATAGTTTACTTAGTAGTAATAAACTTGCAATATTGTCCCTCAGGCCTTTGAGAGTTCATGTGTAGCTCAGGTAGTTAAGATCATCAAAGCATCCAGTTGGAGGGAGTATATGTTTTTTCAATCAACTAGTTATCTGGTCCAAAACAATAGCTTTCTTTTAAAATTTTTAACTGGCGTGATTGGGTTATTTGATATCTCTCTAGCATAGAGGATAGTTGTAGCCAGTCAAAGAGCATCAGAATTTGGAGTGTTGTATTTCATGTTTGATTATTTATTATCATTTTCCTCTGTAAAACAAATCTGGTATAAAATTCTAGGATTAAAAAAAGGAACTCTAATCTTCTGGGGTTGTGACTAGACTGTATTGGTTGAGCGTAACTTATTTCTGAAGGCTAATGTTGAGTTGTAACAGGTAGAAATTGTATATATGTAGGTATTTTTATTTTTAGGCTTATGTTTTCTTAACTATTTGAACTCTGGTCTATAAGGACAATGTTTAGCTATAATCACATAAAGAAGACGCTCGGAACTATAGGGAACCTTATATGTTAGCTAGCTTACATTTTAGCCCCCTTTGTGTTGTTTTTTTCTTTTTTTCTGTTTTTTTTGAGACAGAGTTTCGCTCTGTTGCCCAGGCTGGAGTGCAGTGGCACGATCTCGACTCACTGCAAGCTCCGCCTTCCGGGTTCACGCCATTCTCCTGCCTCAGCCTCCCGAGTAGCTGGGATTACAGGTGCCCGTCACCACACCCGGCTAATTTTTTTTGTATTTTTAGTAGAGACGGGGTTTCACCATGTTAGCCAGGATGGTCTTGATCTCTTGACCTCATGATATGCCTGCCTCGGCCTCCCAAAGTGCTGGGATTACAGGCGTGAGCCACCGTGCCCGGCCCTTTGTATTGGTTTTAATCACCAAGAAACAGCCCCAGAGATCGTAAGACACTTTTTCCTAAGGACTCACAGTGTGTGTAGTGGCAGAGGCAGAACTGAAACCTGGGATGGTGAGAGCCTGTGTTGGGGGTCCCCACGACCACCACCGGGGTTCGATTATCCACTAGGAAGACTAAGGATTCAGCATCCTCTGCCTGGAACATACAAAAATTTCGGATTTTCAAAAGAAAAGCAGTTCAGCATAAACCACATTGTACAGCTAAGGCACAGTGAGCCACTCTTATCAGTTAGGGTGGTAGGAACCCTTCCCAGAACCAAATTCTGAGACATGGCCCAAGGGCCAACCTTATAAGAAGGATTTTCAAAGGATAGCAGTCAAGCCTGCAAAATTAACTCTTTACTGTTCAAAGCTAGGCTAGAATTTCTTCTTCTGGGGCATATCTTTTAAAAAGTAGTATTGATAACTACAAAATACCTTTATTCTTAGTAGTCTTTTTTTTTTACTTACACATAATCGTAGAAGATTATGTATCTTCTTGTATGTTACAGGTGATAACATGAGTAACTCACTGTATCTTACTTAATGTAAGAACTTTTTTTTTGAGACAGGGTCTCACTTTGTTGCCCAGGCTGGAGTGCAGTGGCCTGATCTCGGCTCACTGAATCCTTCACTGCTCGAGTTCAAGCAGTTCTTTCACCTCAGCCTCCTGAGTAGCTGGAATTACAGGCATGTGCCACCATGCCCAGCTAATTTTTGTAATTTTTTTGTAGAGATGGGATTTTATCATATTGGCCAGACTGGTCTTAAACCCCTGACCTCAAATGATCGCCCACCTTGGCCTCCCAAAGTACTGGGATTGCAGGTGTGAGCCACCACGCCCAGCCAGAACTTTTTTTTTTTTTTGAGACGGAGTTTTGCTCTTGTTGCCCAGGCTGGAGTGCCATGGTGCCATCTCAGCTCACTGCAGCCTCCACCTCTCCAGTTGAAGCGATTCTCCTGCCTCAGCTTCCCAAGTAGCTGGGATTACAGGCAAGTACCACCACACCCAGCTAATTTTTGTATTTTTAGTAGAGACGGGGTTTCACCATGTTGGCCAGCCTGGTCTTGAGCTCCTGACCTCAAGTGATCTGCCTGTGTCAGCCTCCCAAAGTGCTAGGATTACAGGCGTGAGCCACCATGCCCAGCCCAGAGTTTTGCTCTTGTTGCCCAGGCTGGAGTGCAATGGTGCGATCTTGGCTCACTGCAACCTCCGCCTCCCGTGTTCAAGTGATTCTCCTGCCTCAGCCTCCCGAGCAGCTGGGATTACAGGCGCCTGCCACCATGTCCAGCTAATTTCTGTATTTTTGGTAGAGATGGGGTTTCACCATGTTGGCCAGGCTGGTCTCGAACTGCTGACCTCAGATGATCCACCCTCCTCAGCCTCCCAAAGTGCTGGGATTACAGGTGTGAGCCACCATGCCCAGCCTGTATTAAATGCATTTTCAATTTACAGTATACTCAACTTATGATGGGTTTATTGGGATGAAACCCAGTGTAAGTCAAGGAGCATCTCTATATGTAACTGTTTTTGTTTAATAAAAATGAGATTTTATGTGTATCTTGTTCTGCTTGGTTTTTTAAATGCAACAATATGCTTTGAAATTTTTCACATGACTACATATAATCTTACCTCATTATTATTATTGGCTCCGTGGATTTTTATATATTATTTAGTCATTTCCCATTAGACATTTTAGGTTGTCTTTAGGTTTTTTGTTCATACAAATAAATAATACAGAGGACATCTTTGAGTCTCTTTCCCACCTTTACAAATTTTTCTTTAGGTTGTTTAAATATTTATAGTAATTTCTCTTGTTTTCAGTGAAAAAAGTTGCCTGTGAAGGAGTGAATAATGATCCAGATGAGTCTATGAGTTCTAGAATTTCAGACACGGAAAGATCTCAGAAGGATGCTCAGACAGTTGAAGAAGAGTCTCTGACCTTATCAAGGGAGGATGCAGAGCAGGTTGCATTAGAAGTAGACCTAAATCAAAAGAAAAGAAGGAGGAAGAAGCAAGATGGAGCTAATGAACTGGGAGTAAACAATCTTTTAGAAAATGCCACTGTTCAGGCGGGTCCTTCTAAAGGAGAAAAACACAAGAGTAAGTTTCTTACATATTTAAAAAGCCTCTATATTACTTGAGAAGACATGTACAGTAATATGGTATGTAACTTAATTTTCTGTCTAGATAGCAATTAATGATGCTTATTAATTGGTTCTGTACTAATGGTACTGTGCTAACGCTGTTTATTTTTAATTAAAAAAGTTTATGTAAAAAAATTAAACAAATTAAAGTGGGGAGATTGTTCTCTAAAGTTTGTTTCTAAGATGTATCACCTCCTGTGCATTCCCATTAACTATGATTAGAAATCACATCTATATAGAGTTAAAAGTATGTTGCTATGTCTGTCAATAAAGCACAGATTTTCATGTTGTACCTCTACAGAGCACCTCTGTGAACCCACAAGGGGTTAGTTCCTATAAAAGAACTAGTGGAATATGTATTCCTTCCCTTTTTCTTTTTTACTCTTTGAATGCAAACATATTGCCACTTATGAGTTGCTTGGGGATGAGGGCTAAGAGTTTGAGGGGGAGTCTTGGTCCCTTTCCTTAAGAGTTCATATGTAGATTATTTAAAGCTGATAACCAAGGAAAAGGTAGGAGCAGACCAGAACAACCTTTCTATAAAATTTATGTTTTCTGTAGTTCAGATTTACCCATCTGATTTTAATAAAAGAGTACTGGTAGCTAACATAGTATGCTTTGTAGGCATCTCAATATTATGCTCTTTTTTGGCTTATTGGAGTCATTACGTATAATGCAGAACAGCTTAATGATTCACAACCAGGTTTTAGAAATCAAACAGACCTTGCTTTAAATTCCAGCTTTTTTACTTGCTTAAGTATTGCATTGGGAAAGTTACTTAAGATCTCTGAACTCAGGGGGTTCTCTATGAGGTTAATGTTAATATATTTTAATAGGATTGTTTCAAGTATTAAATGAGATAATGCATCTGATGGACTTAAGGGTTCCTGCCGCTTAGTAAGTACTTAATAAATGATAGCTATTACTGTGTTACTAATTAGTATACTTCTGAAGGAGCAAAAGAATAGTTAAGTCAACTTTTAGTTTCCCTACTTGACATATAAAATAAGCCACTTTAAATACTTAGAATTTAAGATAAAAGGAAGATGCTACAAATTGCCCAAGAAGCTTGAGCTGATCCTCATATATGTTAAGTTTTTATTATGGTCTAAAAATAAGATGTGTGCCTTGCAAATAGGGACTTGAATGTTGCTTAAGGTTTTGTAGGAAAAGACAGTGTTATAGGTAAATTCCTTTGTGCTCTAAAAAAGATGTTTTTGCTGTCATTTTTTAGAATAACATGCATTTTGTATTTGTAGATAAATGTCAGGCTATAAGGCCTGAGCTAAAGGAAGGTGAATGCAGTAAGGAGCAGATGCTTTCCTGCACACAAAACATAGATGGCATTGTGGGTTTTGCCTCCACTGAAAAAGTTGAGAAAAGAACTGACCCCATCCTTTCATTAAGGTATTTTCTGTGTCTTTTCTGGTTTTATCCACATCTGTTGATTACTGAGAAAGGAGTGTTGAAGTCTCCATCTGTAACTGTGGATTTGCCTGTTTCTTTTTTTCAGTTCTATTTGTTTTTGCTCCATATATTTTGAAGCTCTGTTGTTAGGTGTGTACATATCTAGGATTGTTTTGTCTTGGTGAAATTCCCTTTATCATTATGTACTATCCTTCTGGTATTGCTCTTTTTTTCTGATGTTTACTTTGCTATTGTAGCTTTCTTTTGGTTGGCGTTTGCATGGGTTTATCATTTTCTGTAATGATTTTCTCTATTTTTGGTTTTCGTTAGTTTGAATGTGATGTGTCTTGCTGTGTGTGTGTGTGTTTTTAAATTTTATTTTGTAATATAAAATCATGAGATTTACCCTCAATAGATTTTTTATGTGTACTATACAGTGTTGTTAACTATAAGCACAGTGTTGTATTGCTGATCTCTGGAATTTTTTTTTACCTTGCATAACTGCACCTCTATACCTATTGAACAGCAACTCCTATTTCCTCCGCCTCCCAGCCCTTGGCAATCATGATTCTTTCTTTGTTTTGTTTTGTTTTGTTTTGTTTTTGAGATGGGGTCGGTCTCTGTCACCCAGGCTGGAGTGCAGTGGCACGATCTCAGCTCACTGCAACTTCCACCTCCCAGGCTCAAGCAATCCTCCCATCTCAGCCTCCTGAGAAGCTGGGACCACAGGCATGTACCACCGTACCTGGATAATTTCTTGTATTTTTGGTAGAGACAGGGTTTCACCATTTTGCTCAGGCTGGTCTTGAACTGAGCTCAGGTGATCCACCTGCCCTGGCCTCCCAAAGTGCTGGGATTACAGGTGTGAGTCACAGCGCCCAGCCTCATGCAGTATTTTTCTTTCTGTGACTGGCTTATTTCACTTAATGTAATGTCCTCAAGGTTCATCCATGGTGTAGCATATGAGAAGATTTCCTTTTTTATGAGCAAATAATATTCTAGTACATGTATAGACCACATTTTCTTTATGGACATTTAGGTTGTTTTTGTCTGTTGGCATCACTGAACATGGGAGTGCAAATATCTCTTTGAGATCCTGATTTCAGTTCTTGTGGATAAATACCCAGAAGTGGGGTTGCTAGATCATATGGTAGTTCTACTTTTAATTTTTTGAGGACCCTCCATACTGTTTCCAATAGCGGGTACACCATTTTACATAACCACCAACAATGTACAGGGTTCCAGTTTTTTTCACATCTTCTTCAATACTTGTTATCTTTTATTTTATTAATAATGTCCTTCTGAACAGGTAGAAGGTGGTTTCTTATGGTTGTTTTGATTTGCATTTCCCGGATAATTATTGAGTTGAGCATCTTTCATAGCTGTTAGCCATTTGTATATCTTCTTTGGAGACATGTCTATTCAGGTCCTGTGCCCAATTTTTTAATTAGGTTATTTTCTTTTTTGCTATTGAGTTTTGAGAATTATTTATATAGTTTGGATTTTAGGACCTTATCAGAAATATGATTTACACATTTTCTCCCATTCCATAGGTTGCCTTTTCACTCTGCTGTTTCCTTTGGCGTACAGAAGTTTTTTAGTTCAATGTAGTCCCATTTGTCTAATTTTGCTTTTGTTGCCTATACTTTTGGTGTCATATCTAAGAAACTATTGCCAAAAACAAACTTAAAGCTGTTTACTATTTTTAAGCATACAATTTAGTGGCATTATTTACATTTACATTGTTGTGCAGCCATCAGCACTATTTCTAAAGCTATTTTATCACTGGAAACAGAAAACCTGTACCCATTATGCAGTAATTCCTCATTCTCCCCTCCCTGCAACCACTGATAATCTCTAATCTGCTTTCTGTTTCTCATCCAAGTATTAATCAGGACCAGACTTGCTTAGTTTGAGATCAAATTAGGCTCATTGAGAGCGGTAAGGATGTAGACAACTTTCTGTCTCTATGACTCTGTCTAATCTAGATATTCACATAAGTGGAATCATATGCTATTTCTCATAGTTGTTTGTTCCTAGGTGACAGATAATCTAAAGTGTGAGTTCAGAGATACACCTAATTTCATAAACTACACAAAACTGTACTCGTGACTTTTTCTAATTTTTAAAATAATTAAAAAATGTTGTGACAGGGTCTTACTCTGTTGCTCAGGCTAGAGTGTAGTAGCGTGATCACAGCTCACCACAACCTTGAACTCTTGGGCTCAAATGATTCTATCACCTCAGCATCTCGAGTAGCTGGGACTACAGTCATGGGACACCATGACTGGCTAATTTTAAAAACATTTTTTAGTAGAGATGTTTTCCAGGCTGGTCTCAAACTCCTGGGCTCAAGCAATCCTCGCACCTCAGCATGAGCCACTGTGTCTGGCCCTAGCTTTTTCTAATTTAGGGGAAAAACAACCTTGTAATGACTGTTAAAGTCCCAGTTGGTTTTGGAAAACAAAGAGTTGATTCTAAAATTGTCATGTACACAAGAACAAAGGCTCAAGAATGGTAAAGACAGTTTTAAAAAACACCAACTTTGCAGAGGGACTGTGCTAGTAGACTAATTTTCGAGCTAGAGTAACTAAAGCAGCATGGTATTGGTGTAGGGTTAGATGAATTGACTCAGTGGAACTGAATATAGAGTTTAGGAAGAGACATTTAGGAATCTGTTATATGGCAGAGGTAGCTTTAGAAATTAGCGGGCAAAGATAGAACTAACTTCATTAGATTGAGCTGAGATTTGAAAAACATAATATTTGATCCTTGTGTTACCATATCCGCTAACTTCCTGATGGATTGAAGACTACATGTATAAAACAAATCTTTACAACTTTTAGAAGAAATGTAGAAAAATATCTTTGTAATGTGAAGGCCTCAGGTAAGACATTTCTATTAAGATGTAGAAAACACAGACTTTAAAAGATAAGATTGATAAGTTTGATGGTAGTAAAATTAAATACTTCTGTTAACAAATCCTCCATAAAGAAAATAAAAGGCAAGTTACTGATCGGGAGATTTTATGTGTAATATCTAGACAATAAAAATATATAGAGAACTCTTGCTGATAAGTCAGGAAAACATAAACACCTAGTAGAAAAAATGAACAAGAAAAAAAGAAAAAGGTATGGCTAAATGTGAATATGTGTTGAAATGGTCAGTGCGTGGCTATCAGTTATATTATTGTTAGTTGAAATTTATTTTGTGACAGAGTCTTGCTCTATCGCCCAGGCTGGAATGCAGTGGTGCAATCTCAGCTCACTGCAGCCTTGACTTCCTGGGCTTAAGCAATCCTCTCACCTCAGTCTTCTGAGTAGCTAGGACTACAGGCACGTGCTACCACACCTGGCTGATATTTGAAATATTTTTTAATATAGTAGTTCTCACTTTGCGTAGGACTATGTTAACTCAACTTGAGCTTATTGGAGCTGTATCTTTGCTTTATTTGACTTTTGGTTACACAGTACCCTGCATAGCAAGGATTGCCTATATAAATTTTAATGAAAGCTAATTCCTAAATATTAGTATTATTTTACGCATGTTTGATTTGTGAACCACATTTAATAATTTCTCATTTTGAAGCCTTTTCTTTTTTTGAAACAGAGCTTTGCTCTGTCACCCAGTCTGGAGTGCAGTGGTGTGATTCCACCTCCCGGGTTCAAGTGATTCTTTTGCCTCAGCCTCCTGAGTAGGTGGGATTATAGGCCTGCACCACCATGCCCAGCTAGTTTTTGTATTTTTAGTAGAGATGGGATTTAACCATGTTGGCCAGGATGTTCCAAACTCCTGGCCTCAAGTGATCTGCCCGCCCTGGCTTCCCAAAGTGCTGGGATTACAGGCGTGAGCCACCTTGTCCGGCCTTCATTTTGAAACTTCTTGAGCATGTTCCTAAGCGTGTAAATTTGTGGCTGCTGCTTTCTCTGGAGGTACAGTTTTTATAACATGATGCAAGATGGATCATAGAAAAGCTAATGTAGCAGTTTGTATTACTCTATAATGTGAAGCAGCATCTTGCAAAATGGTGATTTTGTGTGTTTAACATTTTTAAAAATAATTATAAAATATATATCATTAGGAATTCTTTTCTCTCTGAAATATTTTCTTTTTTTTAGTAATCAACAAGATGCCACATCAGTAGCAACTGAGTCTTCAGAATCAAGCACTTCAGATTTGCCTTCATTCGAAGTTGGAATTAGAGCATTGTGTGAGGTGAATAATGCTGAGGGTAGTTGTATAGAAGAAAGAAATGTTGACCTAAAAAATAATTCACTGTAAGTATTTTATACGATAGGATTTATTTATAAAATTTTGATAAGGTTCTTAAATGATAATAATGTTGCTTCATTTAGGGATTCGAGGGGATTATTAATACATACTTTATTAATAGTAGAGGGAATCATTTAATATGTAATTATACTGTAGTCTGTTCAGAGTGTAACATCAGGTGTTTTACTTTATATTTCTTTGCAGAAAGATTCTCTTTCATATCTGTTATATAATAATGATATGAATTTTAGGAAGGTGGTAACTTACGAAATTCTAAAACAATTTGGAAGCCTAAATATTTGCCATGAGATTTTACTTTTACTTGGTTTGAGTTATTTTTTATGCCTGGTGTCAAAATAATATTTTGATATTGGTGATTTCAAGGAAGTATATCTTCCAGTATGCAGATACTGGTTAAATTAGTATCTTCCCAAGAAACGATTAAAAACATCATAAAAATCTCCCTTTGAAGAGGTATCTGAAAGTTTTATACTTCCTTTTAGTCTTCCTTGTAATTCCTCATCTCATATGGGCTTAAAAGCTATTAATAGTTTATGGGCTGGGCGCAGTGGCTCACACCTGTAATCCCAGCACTTTGGGAGGCCGAGGCGGGCGGATCAGGAGGTCAGGAGATTGAGACCATCCTGGCTAACACAGTGAAACGCTGTCTCTGCTAAAAATACAAAAAATTAGCCGGGTGTGGTGGCATGCACCTGTAGTCCCAGCTACTTGGGAGGCTGAGGCAGGAGAATGGCGTGAACCTGGGAGGTAGAACCTGCAGTGAGCTGAGATCATGCCACTGCACTCCAGCCTGGGCGACAGAGCGAGACTCCATTTCAAAAAAAAAAAAAAAAAAGAAAGCTATTCAGTTCATAAATTCTTATTTTTCAGTAAAGTACTGTCACAATGGAAATCAAACTTAAAAATGTCAGTCTTTGAAATAGACAATACATTCATAGGGTTCAAACATCGAAAAGTATAAAAAGGTATGATTGAGCTCTCCCTCACACACACATACACATTTAAACATTTATGAATTTTTTTTTTTTTTTTTTTTTGAGACAGGGTTGCACTCTGTTGCCCAGGCAGGAGTGCAGTGGTGTGATCATAGCTCATTGCAACCTCAACCTCCCAGGCTTAGGTGATCCTCCCACCTTAGTCTCCCAGGTAGCTGGGACTATAGGTGCTCGCCACCACATCCAGAGACGGAGTCTTGCTCTTGTCACCCAGGCTGGAGTGCAGTGGCACCATCTTGGCTCACTGCAACCCCCGCCTCCCGGGTTCAAGGGATTCACCTGCCTCAGCCTCCCAAGTAGTTGGGACTACAGGCACGTGCCGCCATGCATGGCTAATTATTGTATTTTTAGTAGAAACGGGGTTTCACCATGTTTGCCAGGCTGGTCTCGAACTCCTGACCTCAGGTGATCCACCTGCCTCAGCCTCCCAAAGTGCTGGGATTATAGGCGTGAGCCACTGCGCCCGGCCTTCCCATCATCATTTAATCTTACTTAATATTTCTTACGTTTTATCCTCACTGTATTGTATTGCATTTCATCTTATCCTCCCTATTATGAGTTGCTACCTTCAATATATACCAAAATCATGTCTATTTTGAAGTTATTTTCTGGATTTTAAATTTGTTTCATTTATCTGTTTATTCATATGTTAGTACCACACTGTTTTAATTACTGATGATGAATGGTGTATTTTTAATATCAGATAGAACAAGTTAGTCTCTTTAAGTTTTCTTTGCTACTCTTGTTCTAAGTAAGCTCTTAAAGGAGTTCTTCCTAATTCTCAGTAGGTTATTTTAGAAGTTCATTTGGACATGACTGCATGTTTGATGCTATTTAAATAATGTTAATTTTTCAGGGAAATTGATCAAACAGAAAATGTTAAACCAATGTTGAGAGGTCGCTTCCAAAGACCTAAACCCAATTTGTCAAGGGCTGGGAAGAAATCAGTTCTTTCACAAGGCAAAACAGAGTCAGAGAGCAAGAATTCACATTCAAAAACTTCAGTTGAAAAGGTATGGGGTAAGAGATTTCATGGAAATTAAAATTATAAAAATTTTCTTTAGATAGTTGGGAATAAAAGTTGTTGACTTGAAATTACAAAGTACTGTTACTGATATTAAAACAGATACAAGAACTTACATTAACATTAGATTTGTTCGTATCTTATTAGTCTCCTGTTTACACATTTTCTTTAACCTGGGATGTAATCATTTCAGATATCCTCAGTGGTGATAAATCTGTCTTCTGTTTACTTCTATAAAATTTTTATTTAAAATATTTCATAAACCAGCTATATATTAAATTCTGCCCACAACATTCTCATCTACACACAGGCAGTCTCATTTCTGTTTGTCTTTTACAAACTTTCTGTTTGTTTTTTCTGAGACAGGGTCTTGCTCTATTGCCCAGGCAACAGAGTCCAGGAGTGCAATGGCAGTATTATGGCTCTCTGCAGCCTCGAAATCCTGAGCTCAAGTGATTCTCCCACATCACCCTCCCCAGTAGCTGGGACTACAGGTGTGTGCCACCAAACCCAGATAATTTTTTTTTTTTTTTGAGACGGAGTCTCACTGTCTCCCAGGCTGGAGTGCAGTGGCGTGATCTTGGCTCACTACAAGCTCTGCCTCCCAGGTTCACGCCATTCTCCTGCCTCAGCCTCCTGAGTAGCTGGGACTGCAGGTGCCCACCACCATGCCCGGCTAATTTTTTGTATTTTTAGTAGAGATGGGGTTTCACCGCATTAGCCAGGATGGTCTCTGTCTCCTGACCTCGTGATCTGCCTGCTTTGGCCTCCCAAAGTGCTGGGATTACAGGCGTGAGCCACCGCACCCGGCCTGATTTTCTGTTTTAAGTTAGCAAAAATTTGGAATGGAGTTTCACTGTGTTCACCAGGCTGGTTTCTAACTCCTGGCCTCAAGTGATTCTCCTGCCTCAGCTTCCCAGTGTGCTGGGGTTATAGGCATGAGCCAGCTCACCTGGTCAATAAATTTCTTTATTCTTTTTCTTTCTTTATTTCTTTTTTTTTTTGAGATGGAGTCTTGCTCTGTTGCCCAGGCTGGAGTGCAGTGGCACGATCTTGGCTCACTGCAGCCTCTGCCTCCCAGGTTCAAGCAATTCTTCTGCCTCAGTCTCCCAAGTAGCTGGGATTACAGGCATCTGCCACCATGCCTGGCTAATTTTTGTATTTTTAGTAGAGACAGGGTTTCACCTTGTTGGCCAGGCTGGTCTCGAACTCCTGACCTCATGTGATCCACCTGCCTCAGCCTCCCAAAGTGCTGGGATTACAGGCGTGAGCCACCACGCCTGCCGTCTTTTTTTTTTTTTTTTGACATAGGATCTCGCCCAGTCGCCCAGGCTGGAGTGCAATGGCATGATCCTGGCTCACTGCAGCCTCTGTCTCCCAGGTTCAAGCTATTCTTGTGCCTCAGCCTCCTAAGTAGCTGGGATTGCAGGCATGCACCACCACGCCCAGCTAATTTTTGTATTTTCAGTTGAGACGAGGTTTTGTCATGTTGGCCAAGCTTGTCTTGAATTCCTGACCTCAAGTGATCCGTGTGCGTTGGCCTCTCAGAATGCTGGGATTACAGGCATGAGGGCACCATGCCTGGCCAATAACTTTATCTATGTATGCACACATTTCTATAATTTTTAACCATAATGTGTATAATGTTTAAAACCTTTTTCTTTTCTTTGTTTTGTTTTTGAGACGGAGTCTCGCCCTGTCGCCCAGGCTGTGGTGCGATGGCGTGATCTCGGCTCACCGCAACCTCTGCCTCCTGGGTTCAAGAGATTCTCCTGCCTCAGCCTTCCAAGTAGCTGAGATTACAGGCGCGCGCCTCTATGCCCAGCCAATTTTTGTATTTTTAGTAGAGACTAGGTTTCACCATATTGAGCCACCGTGCCCTGCCAAAACCTTTTTCAGCTGACCACGGTGGCACACACCTGTAATCCCAGCACTTTGTGAGGCCAAGGCTGGTGGCTTACTTTAGGCCAGGAGTTTGAAACCAGCCTGGCCAACATGGCGAAATCCCATCTCTACTAAAAATACAAAAAAATTAGCTGGGCATTGTGACACATGCTTGTAATCCCAACTACTCGGGAGTTTGAGGCAAAAGAACCACTTGTACCCGGAAGGGAAGAGGTTGCATTGAGCCAAGATTGCACCACTGCACTCCAGCCTGGGCAACAGAGCGAAACTCTGTCTCAAAAAAATAAAAAATTAAAAAAAAACCCTTTTCCTCTGAAACTATTAATTTACATTTTTTTGGGTCCAATTGATCTTTTTAATAGCTGTGTCATGTTAACATGTTATTGATTTACCTAATCAGTTCTCTACTAATGGATGTTCAGATTGTTTCTATTTTTGTTTGTTTTTTTAACTCTTGTACATTAGAAGCAAACAATTTTGTAAGTAAGGCTTTCTCAAGGAAACAAAGTATAAATTTCTAGAGACGGGTGGGATCGTTGGGTCAAATAATGTTTTAAATATTTTTGTGATTCTTGTTATGCATTGTCTTTTGTTATTTGTTATTTTTATTACTTTAAAAAATTTTCTGGTATGTCTGAGTCTCCTGAATTGTTATGCATTGTGAAACTGACAGTCATAAATAATCTATTTACATTGCTAAATGAATCTTTCTGTTTCCTTATAACTTTTCCAGAATTCTATTGTTACCATTTTTTTTAAACTAAAACACTTTTTAAGATGTTGGTTTGCTTCTTTTCCTGTTTTGTGAAATATCTTTTATCATAATCTTTATAGTACAGTTACATTATTCTAATCTTATGTTTATTGAATTGTAGAAAATTTGGAAAATACAGATTCATGTAAAAGTTAAAACAAAAATTACTTGTAATTTTTTTCTTTACCTTTTTTTCTTTGAAGTGTTGTAATCTTGTTTCTTTTTTTTTTTTTTTTTTTTTTTTGAGGTTTAGTTTCACTCTTGTTGCCCCAGCTGGAGTGCATGGTGTGATTTCGGCTCACAGCAACCTCCGCCTCCTGGGTTCAGGCGATTCCCCTGCCCTCAGCCTCCTGAGTGGCTGGGATTACAGGCATGCGCCACCATGCCCGGCTAATTTTTTGTATATTTAATAGAAACGGGGTTTCACCATGTTAGCCAGGCTGCTCTCGAACTTCTGACCTCAGGTGGTCCACCTGCCTCAGCCTCCGAAAGTGCTGGGATTACAGGCGTGAGCCACCATGCCCAGCCATTCCTTCTAATACTTGTAATTTCATTATTCCCTTGCAACCAATCTTTTCACATATCTCCTTACAGATTTTCTTTTACACAACTGAATCATGGTTTCAATACAGTTTTGTATCCTTTGGTAATTAACATTTCAGAAATATTTTTCTGAAATATTTAGTGTGATTCCATTTTTCTTAAAAAAAAAAAATGTACATCAGGTGTGGTGGCTCACACCTGTAAGCCCAGCCCTTTGGGAGGCTGAGGCGGGCTAATCACCTGAGCCCAGGAATTTGAAACAAGCCTGGGCAACATGGCAAGATCTGGTCTCTACAAAAAATGAAAAAATTAGCTGGGCATAGTGTGCACCTGTAGTCCCAGCTACTCAGGAGGCTGAGGTGGGAGGATCACCTGAGCCTTGGGGGTCAAGGCTGCAGTGAGCTATGATCATGTCACTGTACTCTAGCCTGGGCGACAGAGCATGACCCTGTCTCAAAAAAAAAAAAAAATTCTCATCTGCATTTAGGATTTTTAGAAAATCTCCTCTAGTTAGAAGTACAAAAAATGAAGTTCTTATTTATTCATTTATTGAGATGGAGTCTCACTCTGTCACCCAGGCTGGAGTATAGTGGTGTGACCTCGGCTCACTGCAACCTCTACCTTTTGCGTTCAAAGAATTCTCCTGCCTTAGCCTCCCAAGTAACTGGGACTACAGGCACACGCTGCCATGCCTGGCTAATTTTTTGTATTTTAGTAGAGACAGTTTCACCATGTTCCCCAGGCTGGTCTTGAACTCCTGAGCTCAGGCAATCCGCCTGCCTTGGCCTCCCAAAGTGCTAGGATTACAGGCTTGAGCCACCGTGCCCGGCCAGTTCTGTTGTTTTAATTTCCATTTGTTTATTACAAAGTTTGAACTGTTTATTGTAAGTAGATAAATTGTAGCAAATTAAATTCACAGAACCACGTGGAAAAAGATAAAATGAATACATTGGACATTTTGAGAATGGAGACTACAGAGAGAGAGAATCCAGAAGCTGAAACTGTATCTGTGTGAGTATTCAGGAAGTAGTAAAAAAAAAAAAAAAAAAAAGTAACTCTTAGGAATGATGGTAATAATTTGTTTTCTACTTAATAAGGTCTGAATTTAATTTTCAAGCAGCATACTTTAAGTTCGTTTTCAACCATAGGTGGTTTTGAAACATTCATAATACTCTCTCTGCTTGATATTGCTTATATAAATTTTATGAGTCTATTGAGTTAGCCATTACATTTGAATGTTTACAGTATATGCCCCTGGATAATTTTATTTATACTAAGAGATTTTAAAAGGGAATATTTAACTTGAAATAGAAATCTAAAATAGAATGTGAATCTGACTGGTGGATTCTGGGCTCTTCCAGGGGTTACCATTTATACTATGATTTGGGACTAATCCCCTGGAGTTCTACATTATTCTATAGTATCCTTAGTCAGGAGTAGTATTCTATGCTTGGCAGATGTAGATTTTTCCAATTTTGTAATAAAATTCTATTTAAAAGTGCTTTTTCAAGAGGGCTTCCAGGATTATGTCTTTTTTTTTCTCTCTCTTTTTTTTTTTTTTTGAGATGGAATCTCGCTCTGTCACGTAGTGGTGCAGTCTCTGCTCACTGCAACCTCTGCCTCCCGGTTTCAAGCGATTCTTCTGCCTCAGCCTCCCAAGTAGCTGATATTGCAGGCGCCCACCACCACACCTGGCTAATTTTTGTATTTTTAGTAGAGACAGGTTTAACCATGTCGGCCAGGCTGGTCTCGAACTTCTGACCTCAAATGATTCGCCCGCCTCGGCCTCCCAAAGTGCTGGGATTACAGGTGCGAGCCACTGCGCCCGGGCGGATTATGTCTTTTCAGGAAACTTGTGAATTATTTCATATTCCAAATGGTTTACTTATTCATGCCAGGGAGAAGGAAATTGGTGACTTCAAAATAAACATTAATTTTATTTCTTTGTGGTTCTAGTTTGGGTGAAAAAAATTGTCTGCAGGAAGGGAGTCAACTAAAGGCTTTAAGACCTGTACAAGTGAGGGGCCGATTGCAAAAGCCAAAGCCAAATGCAGGTAAAGCTGCTGAAAGAAAAGAAATTCTCATATCACAGGAAGAAATTGGGGCCAATGTAGAGAAGAATGAAAATGAATCCTGTGCTGATAGAGATGTAAGTACTCTGATTCCTCCTCACATTTTTGGTAAGCAAGTACATGAGCCTTAATATAAGCTTCCCTTCACCCACATACTTACATACATACATACATACATTTATTTATTTATTTATGACGGAGTCTTGCTCTGTCGCCCAGGCTGGAATGCAGTGTCGCGATCTTGCCTCACTGCAACCTCTGCCACCCAGGTTCAAGTGATTCTCCTGCCTCAGCCACCTGAGATCGTGCCACCGCACTCCAGCCTAGGCGACAGAGCAAGACTCTGTCTCAAAAAAAAAAAAAAAAAATTCACATGATCTATAATGTTTTTGTATTTTTAGTTGTGCGACTGCAGGCTCACACCACCACGCCTGGCTAATTTTTGTATTTTTAGTAGAGACAGTGTTTTGCCATATTGGCCAGGCTGGTCTCAAACTCCTGACCTCAGGTGATCCACCCGCCTTGGCCTCCCAAAGTGCTAGGATTACAGGCATGAGCCACTGTGCCCAACCCCTTTACCCCCTTTTCAAAACAGTACTGCACAATTTGTGTGCATCATTTATTACATTTTTGGTCAAAATCTCATAGCCAGCAGCTTTGCTAGTTGTAAAGCCATTTTAGATTTTGGGCATTTACATGATAGATAATCTGTTTCACCTGACCTCATATTTGGAGTTGCTTTTCCGTATCACTTAGTGGATGTTTGAATTAATCTTTTGTTTTGAAGAAATAAGTACATATGTGAGTTTTAACATTGGCTTAAACAGCATAAAGTGTTAAAAGCTCCCTAGTAAGATACAATTCCAAGAACAAAGACTGTGAATTTTAGATTATTTACATAGCCTTTGTGATAAAGATAAAAGTTGTCATGTTTTGAGATTTCAATTTCTTATAATTCCCATGGTCTCTAGGCCAGGCATGGTGACTCATGCCTGAAATCCCAGCATTTTGGGAGGCCGAGGTGAGAGGATTGCTTGAGGCCAGGTGTCTGAGACCAGTCTGGGCAACATAGTGACACTCTGTCTCTACAAACAAAAATTTTTTTAATTAGCTGGGCTTGGTGGTGTGCTCCTATAGTCCCAGCTACTTGGGAGGCTGAGGCAGGAGGATCAATTGAGCCCAGGAGTTCAAGCCTCCAGTGAGCTATCTATAATTATGCCGTTGCACTCTAGCGTGGGTGACAGAGTGAGACCCTGTCTTAAAAAAAAAAAATTCTGACCAGGCGCAGTGGCTCATGCCTGTAATCCTAGCACTCTGGGAGGCCGAGGTGGGCGGATCACGAGGTCAGGAGATTGAGACCATCCTGGCTAACACGGTGAAACCCCTTCTCTACTAAAAATACAAAAACGTTAGCTGGGTGTGGTGGTGGACGCCTGTAGTCCTAGCTACTCGGGAGGCTGAGGCAGGAGAATGGCATGAACCTGGGAGGCAGAGCTTGCAGTGAGCCGAGATCATACCACTGCACTCCAGCCTGGGCGACCGAGCAAGACTCCGTCTCAAAAAAAAAAAAAAAGAAAAAAAAATTCCCGTGATCTATAATGCATTTATAGTAATCAAAAGAATTCAGAAAGATAGACCCCACAGGGGTATTTCTAACAGATGAAACCAAGGCAGTTACTTGTTTTTTGATTGGGAGGAAAAGAATGGGGCTTTGAGATATCCTAAAAGGAGTAACTCATGAAATTTTCTAAGATAGCTAAAGAAAAAACATTAAAAGTATTTTAAAGTCTCCATTTTATAATGTTGAATTTTTTACCATTTTATACTTAAATTGGACATTTTCAATGAAATCTGTTATGCCTCATTGTGAAACCTAAAACATTAGAAAAATTTGTTTGTTTTTAAGACTCCTCAACACATGGAAGATCAATCGCGTAAAGATTTTGAAGAGGAAGATGTCATATTACAGCCTGAGAAAAATGATTCTTTTCAAAATGTGCAGCCAGATGAGCCCAAGGTTCTTAATGAATGTCTAAGGTAAGCATCATTTTGTTGATATATAATCTTTGGATTTTGTAAAAAGTTTTAGAACTCAATCAGTTTTTTAAAGCAGAAGCAATTTAGATGGATTTGTTGTCTGCGTGTCTAGTTATGTAGTGTTTAAAAATATAACTTCACCTTTCAAGAAAGTTTATGTTGTAGCCTTTATGTGAATTTCTCAGATGGTTTGAAGAAAGCTACTCATCGTAAATTAGTACTTGAGTTAACATGAATAGCCTTATCACTTTATTTTATTTTATTTTACTTTTTATTTTTTGAGACGGAGTTTCACTCTTCTTGCCTGGGCTGGAGTATAATCTCAGCTCACTGCAACCACTGCTTCCCAGGTTCAAACAATTCTCCTGCCTCAGCCTCCCGAGTAGCTGGGATTACAGGTGCCTGCCACCAAGCCCAGCTAATTTTTGTATTTTTAGTAGAAACAGGGTTTTACCATGTTGGCCAGGCTGGTCTCGAACTCCTGACCTCAAGTGATCCACCTGTCTCGGCCTCCTAAAGTGGTGGGATTACAGGTGTGAGCCATCACACCCAGCCAGCTTTATCACTTAACATGCATATTGAAATATATGTTTATGTTCAAATGTAAAATGCTACTTATTTTTAAAATATTTGTTTCTTTGGAATTAGATTGAGCACATATTGCCTTTATTTAAGATTTATAAATTTTATTTAAAACTTATGTATAGAAACCCATACTGCTTATAGTCAAAGTCTTTTCTATTTTTTATTTCTTCCTTGGAGGGTACCAAGCCAGACTGATGGAATTACTGGTATACTATTTCAACTTTTCAACTTGGAAATGTTTAATGTGCGCAAAAGTGCAGTAGTGGACTCCCATATACCTGCTGTCCAGTTTCAGTAATTAATATTTACCAGTCTTTACGTTTAAAGGCTAGCCTATGCTATACTTTCTTACAGCTGTATTAGCCTATTTAAATAGTACCTAGCTGGGCATGGTGGCTCATGCCTATCTAGCTACATGGAAGGCTGAAGGAAGAGGATTGCTTGAGCCCAGGAATTAGAAGCTGCAGGGAGCTATGAATGGGCCACTTTACTCCAGCCAGGGCAACAAAGTGAGACAGACTCCTGTCCCTCCAAAAAAGAAAAGTACCTAACCTGAGAGTGAAAGCTAGGTTTCCTGAACTACTTTAAAGATCTTCATTGGAAGACAAAAAAATTTCTCTATTTCTTGTTGCCTTCACTATTCCTTTGCTTCTTATTCCTCCCCACTGCCCGGATTATTTTACTAATGTGCACACAGTCTCTAGGTAGAAGTTTGTATGACTACATTGCTTGCTGCATATCTCTGATATGGATTTTAATTACAGTTAGCTAACAAATTATTCTTTTTATTTATATTTTTTCAGTTTAAACTAGAGTCTATTAATAGATACTGTGGCTTGGTAGAAAATTAAACTTTTCTGAATGGCCTCTGGGTTTTAGAACACTGGTGGACACTGTAACTAATACTCAATCTGATCTCAACAACTTTCCTCTCCATGGGCAGTGTCATTTTTGCTTTGTCATGTGACCTTTCTAGCCTTTGAATCTCCAGAATCCTCAAAAGCAATTCTAAGATTCTGTGTTTTATCAAATTATACACCTATGTCTAACAGAAAGTTTTCCCCCTCTCCTACTCCACATATGTTGGCCTGTTCAAGATGCTATGTAAGAGAGATAGTAGGAAAATAGTCTCTCAAAGAATGCATTAAAAATTCTTTAGGCTGGGCATGGTGACTCACACCTATAATCCCAGCACTTTGGGAGGCTGAGACAGGAGGATCACTTGAGGCCAGGAACTCAAGACAAGCCTGGACAACATAGCAAGACCCATCTCTATTAAAGAAAAGGTACTTTATTAGATAAACTAGTGAGTATTTCTTTGAAATTTAATCTTCTAGGTTAATTTTGCATCTTACCTACTTCATATAAATATTTTAAGTTTTTTGTCATGATTGGTGATTTGGTGATGTTTGTTTGGAGGTTTATATATATATATATATATATATTTGAAACACACACACACACACACACACACACACACACACACACCCATATTTTTTTAAAGACAAGGGTCTTGCTCTGTCACCCAGGCTGGAGTGCAGTGGTGTGATCATGGCTTACTGCAGCATTCACCTTTTGGGCTCAATTGATCCTCTTGCCTCAGCCTCCCAAGTAGCTGGGACTACAGGTGCATGCCACCACATCTGGCTAATTTTTAAATTTTTTTGTAGAGACAGGGTTTCGCCATGTTGCCCAGGCTGGTCTTGAACTCCTGGGCTGAAGGGATCCTCCTTCCTTGGCCTCCCAAAGTGCTGGGATTATAGGTGTGAGCCACCACGCCTGGCCATGAATATTTTATAGATTCTTAAACTCCGTGTTTTAGAAAAACACATATGCAGACCTTAAAGCACATTTATAGTTTTGTGCTCATTCCATACCTTATTTTCTCCATTCATGATCCTCTTGTTTTGCCTTTCTTCTCAAATTTGTGATCTGAGGAAAGTTCGTAGATCCACTGTATATTTTAAGTTGAGAAATAATCTAGTTCAATTTTATATCTGATATCCAGTCTCAGATACTGCCCTTCAGTTAATTCTGTACTTCTTTTGTTACTTAGAAACAATCAATCTATTGCTTTGGTGGAATGGCAGTTTAAAAAATCTAAGCACATAGAATATAATTATAACATTGCATATCTGTATCTTACAATCTGAACTGTTATGGAAATAATGAAATTATTAATAAAGCCTTTGCTTCAAGCATTTATATGTTTAAATAATACGCCTGTTTTCAAAATGTGACTTTATAAAGATAGTTTATTTTATCTCTTCCCATGGTACCCAAACCAAGATTGCTAGCACAGTAATCTCACTAAAAGCTAGATGTTTCTGGATGGAGATGAAAAGTATCATAAATCAAAAAATGGAATGCGGTCCATTCAGGACTAATCAAATTAAATTTCCTTTATTGATTGCTGTTAATTTTACATTTAACGTTGTCAATTGCTAAAGTTAATGATGGATATAAACACTTCAGTTATGTAAACAAGTACAATTTGAAAAGCAATCTTATTCCTAAGGACCTGTCTTACAGTATCAAAAATTGCATTATTGAAAACAGTTATTTCAGTGAGGAAGGATAGTATAGGACCTAAAGAAGTTGAAACAAGCAATAGCATACTTTTGTTGTTTTGTTTTTGTTTCTGTTTGAGACAGAGTCTTACTCTGTTGCCCAGGTGGAGTGCAGTGGCATGATCTTGGCTCACTGCAACCTCCGCCCCCTGGGTTCCAGCTATTTTCCTGCTTTAGCCTCCCATGTAGCTGAGATTACAGGCGCGTGCCACCACGCCCTGCTAATTTTTGTATTTTGAGTAGAGACAGGGTTTCATCATGTTGGCCAGGCTGGTCTCAAACTCTTGACCTTAAGTGATCCACCTGTCTCAGCCTTCCAAAATGCTGGGATTACAGGCTGAGCCACCATGCCCAGCCTAGCATACTTTTAAGTAAATCTTTTGCTTATTTGTTTTGTTTTTTGTTTGTTTGTTTTGAGATGGGATCTTGCTCTCTTGCCCAATCTGGAGTGCAGTGGCATGATCATGGCTTACTGCAGCCTCATCCTTCCTGGGCTCAGGTGATCCTCCCACCTCAGCCTCCTGAATAGCTGGGACTACAGGTGCACGCCACCTCACTTGACTAATTTTTTTTTTTTTTGTAGAGATGGGATTTCTACCAAAAACTCATGGGCTCAAGCCATCTGCTTCAGCCTCCTGAAGTGCTAGGAGTACAGGCATGAAGCATCATGCCCAGCTCAATACGTCTTTTTTTAAGCTGTTGAATGTATAGTTATATACCTGTTCAGTCCGACATGGCCGAATACAATCTAGTGTTTCATTTGATCTAGCTTTTGCCCAATATTAATAACTTTTCCTAACCAGTCATTTAAAAGCCCTTTCATTCATTTATATGTTTATTGATTTTACCATCTATTATAATAAACAGAAAGCAAAACAAAAAGTGCTGCTGCTTTTCTGGAGAGCAAGGTGCTTGCTTTGGATAGTGGTTGTGTGCCCAGTAGCATTCAGCAAAGTATTATTGTGTATTTGGTCTGTCCTTTGATTCTTTACTTATGTTATGAAATAACAAGCCTTTAGAGAACTATCTGTATAGGAAATCTCATATAAAATTGGTTTTAAAAGGTGAGGAGGGCAGACCTCATTTGTAGTCCTAAGATTTAATCTTGGTCAAGTCATACTTGTATCCAGGTATTTGAGGTGGTCAGGTCTATTATGGCAAACCATTTGTCTGTATAAAAGATAGAAGGGATGAAGAGGTAGAAATAGCAGACATACATCAATCTAGCTCCAATGCAGAGAACTGGAGAGTCTTTCCCAGTCAGTATTTATAAATGGTAGTGTGAATGACAATTGGAAAGACACTGTTAGGATCAAATAGCTTCTATACTGATTGACCTTACTAGATATATATATATATTTAAACTTATTGCTGTGATTTCAAAAGGTGGGATTTTTTTTCTTTTAATTTTTAAATTTTACCCAGCGATTCCTAGGCCTTCCTTAATTTTTTTGAATTTGAGAGTTTCTGGTGTTTCTGTAGTGATTTCTCAAACATCATCTCTTCAGCAGGCAGTCTGGTTTAAAACTTGATTGTGTGCCCCCTTTTTTTTTTATAGCGTTCAAGAGAATAATAAGGCAAATAAACTTAACCAAGTCCCAATTCTAAGGACTCGATTTCAGAAACCAAAGCCAAATATAGGAAGAGGAACTGGAAGGAGAGAAATTTCCTCAAAGGAAGAGGTACTAGAGAAGATTCTTGTCTCTGGGGAAATGGCGGCAGCATTGAGAGAAACTGTAAGACTAGACACCTCACCAAAGGAGATGGTACCAGCAGAGATTAATACTAAAGAAATGCAGTCAGATTTAAAAGAAACTGGAAGAAGAGCCATTTCTCCCAGGGAGAAGATTCTAGATGTGATTGATGACACCATAGAAATGGAGACAGGTCTGAAAGCAATGGGAAGAGAGATTTGTCTAAGGGAGAAGACGCCAGAGGTGATTGATGCCACTGAGGAAATAGACAAAGATTTGGAAGAAGCTGGAAGAAGAGAAATATCCCCACAGAAAAATGGCCCAGAGGAGGTTAAGCCTCTAGGTGAAGTGGAGACAGATTTGAAAGCAACTGGAAATGAGAGTTCCCCAAGGGAGAAGACACCAGAGGTGACTGATGCCACTGAGGAAATAGACAAAAATTTGGAAGAAACTGGAAGAAGAAAAATATCCCCAAGGGAAAATGGCCCAGAGGAGGTCAAGCCTGTAGATGAAATGGAGACAGATTTGAACGCAACTGGAAGAGAGAGTTCTCCAAGGGAGAAGACACCAGAGGTGATTGATGCTACTGAGGAAATAGATTTGGAAGAAACTGAAAGAGAAGTATCCCCACAGGAAAATGGACTAGAGGAGGTCAAGCCTCTAGGTGAAATGGAGACGGATTTGAAAGCAACTGGAAGAGACAGTTTCCCAAGGGGGAAGACACCAGAGGTGATTGATGCCATTGAGGAAATAGAGATAGATTTGGAAGAAACTGAAAGAGAAATATCCCCACAGGAAAATGGCCTAGAGGAGGTTAAGCCTCTAGGTGAAATGCAAACAGATTTGAAAGCAACCGGAAGGGAGATTTCCCCAAGGGAGAAGACACCAGAGGTGATTGATGCCACTGAGGAAATAGACAAAGATCTGGAAGAAACTGGAAGAAGAGAAATATCCCCAGAGGAAAATGGCCCAGAGGAGGTCAAGCCTGTAGATGAAATGGAGACAGACTTGAAAACAACTGGAAGAGAGGGTTCCTCAAGGGAGAAGACACGAGAGGTGATTGATGCTGCTGAGGTAATAGAGACAGATTTGGAAGAAACTGAAAGAGAAATATCGCCACAGGAAAATGGCCCAGAGGAGGTCAAGCCTGTAGGTAAAATGGAGACAGATTTGAAAGAAATTAGAGAAGAAATTTCCCAAAGGGAAAAGGTGCTAGCAGAGTTCAGTGCTATAAGGGAAAAGGAGATTGATTTGAAAGAAACTGGAAAAAGAGACATTCCCATCATGGAGAAAGTATCAGGAAAGATGGCTGTTGTTGAAGAAATGGAGGCAGATTTGAAAGAAACTGGAAAAGAAAATTTTAGAGAGAGAGGATCTGAAGAGATCTGTGTTACTGAGGAAAAGGTGGCAGAATTGAAACAAACTGGAAAAACAGACATTTCTCCAAGGGAAAACGAGCTAGAGGAGACCAGTACCTCAAGACAAACTGACACACATTTAATGCAGAGCGGTAGCAATGACTTCAGTGCTGTGCCTTCACTAGATATTCAGGTATGTATTTTTCTGTCCTTTAAAAGTTTTTTGAATGCTTTTTTCAGAGGAAATAAATAATTCCATGATTATTTTGTCCTTAAGTCCAACAACACTTAAAAATCTCTAAAAGTCTAAAGTCTTTTGTAGCCCTAAGTTTCTATGTTTCAGTGCCTTGAAGAAACTGTATGTTCTTTTTTAAAAAGATAACTTTAGGCTGGGCACACCTTTAAACCCAACACTTTGGGAGGCCAAGGTGGAAGGATTACTTGAGCCCAGGAGTTTGAGACCAGCCTGGGCAACATAGAGAGACCTTGTCTCTACAAAAAATAAGATAAAATAAAAATAAATAAAATAAATAAAAAATAAAATACAATAACAAGGTGTAAGCCTGTAGTCCCAGCTACTTGGGAGGCTGAGGTGAGAGGATCACTTGAACCCTGGAGGTTGAGGCTGCAGTGAGCTGTGATTGTGCCATTGTACTCCACCCTGGGTGACAGAGTGAGACCCTGTCTCAAAAAGAAATAAAAATAATTTCCAACTGTGAAAAAGTCACTGTTATTATTATTATTTTTTTTCTTTAAGTCAGATGGGCAAGGATCAAACTTTTCTTTTGGCTTAGGTTTGAGATCTCAAAAATGTCACTGTTCTTAATATCATTTGAAGTTACTCTTTTAGGTAAAAGAAGAATAGGAAATTAGACTGAATTTGTACTAACCCTAGCGTGAACACACATTATTTCTTTTGGCCACATCTGTATCTGCTTTTGTTTCTTGCCCCACCTGACTTACTTCACTTCTAAAAGTTCTTTTTGTTTTTTCAAGTTACTTTGAAGTTCATGATCTTCTAACATTTTCAAGGACTTTTTTTTTTTTCTAACTTTTAAAAATAGATAATGACATTTGTGGTTTGGGAAAGTAATAATATGCAACATAAAAGGGTTTCCTGAATTCCAAGTTTTAACATTTGGAAATTAAATTTTATTCAAAAATTAAAAACTTCTAAAGTTTTAAAGGAAAGTGTTTAGAATTTAGTAGACTTTTGTTTTAAATATATAAGATGTTTAAATACTCTTTTATTTGTGCTGATTTACTATGACTGTTCCTCTAGAACATTAGCAGTGAAGTACTGTCGATGATGCATACACCTGTAGAAGAAAAAAGAAATTCTGAAAAAGAAGTATCAAGTCACTTCAGTCATTTCAAGATTTCTTCACAGACTCATGAATCTGATAAAACAGAAGTCCAGGGGATTCAATCTCCAGATGTTCCAGAGCAGTTTTCAGATATTAATTTAAGGTACAAGTGTGTTTTTAAAGAAAAAGATATTAAGTTATAGTTGCAGATTACGTTAAACTAAGTGAGGTTTCAAGATATAACATATACAGGATAGTGTTAGAGCTTTTAAGATAGTTTTGGGAAGACTGGGAGAGAGGATTGAGGTCACTCTGACAGTCAATTGTGAAAGTTACTGACATACAAAATTGTATGTAACAGTCTTAAATCAATACAGGTTTGATAGACTCATATTTTCTTTGTGCAGAGATGGTGTAATTCCTAGGCTCATACCTGGATTGTACCACTCATGGTTTTCAGGATCTGCCAGATAGTTCGATTTGTTTTCCTGTTAAGAATTAGAATTAGGCCAAGTATGGTGGCTCACACCTGTAATCCTAGCAATTTGGGAGGCTGAGGTGGGTGGATCCTTTGAGCCTAGGAGTTTGAGACCAGCCTGGGCAACACGCTGTAGAAACCCCATCTCTATAAAATAAAAAAACAAAAACTAGCTGGGTGTGGTGGCACATGCCTGTAGTCCCAGCTACTTGGGAGGCTCAGATGGGAAGATCACTTGAGCCCGCGGAGGTCAAGGCTGCAGTGAGCTATGATTGTGTCATTGCACTCCAGCCTGGGGGATAGAACAAGACCCTGTCTCCAAAAAAAAAAAAAAAAAAAAAAAAATTAAATGTTTACCGCCAGTCTCTAAGGTTGTACTGAGACTCCGTTTCCACTGCCCCTTCAGTTCATTCTAAAGCTTGATAATCCTTGTTCCAAAAGCAAATCTCTTCCTCAAGAACAGAAGCCACTTGAAATTAAACCAGCACCTTTTGTGAGGAGCCGATTCAAAAGACCAAAACCAAACTTAGCAAGAGCAGCTTTGAAGAGAGAGACTACAGAATCAGAAAAATATATATATGAGAAGAAATCAGAAACCAAGAAAATGGAGACTATTGTGATGCAAGAAAATAATGAACAAACTGATACTCTCCCTTCTCAACATGTGAGTGTATTTGAGATGGAAGTTCTGTGTGGGTGTTTTTTTTTTTTTTTAAGTTATTAGGACTACTAAAAGCACCTGGCATTAAAATTCTACAAATATTTCTGTGTAATTTTTGCTGCATGTGATATTGCTCCCATGCTTAATGTGCCTCATTGTTCCACATAATTTGTGTAAGAATCTCAGATATCTGATAATGGGCAAACGTGTTGTGGGAAAGCGTTCAGGTCTGGGCTCTGGTTCCAGTTCCAGCTATGTGACCATTGATTAAACAATTTTCTTCATAGAAAAAATGACAATAATAGTTTTTTATTTTTTTTATTTTTATTTTTTTGAGATGAAGTCTCACTCTGTTCCCAGGCTGGAGTGCAGTGGCGCGATCTCGGCTCACTGCAACTTCCACCTCCCAGGTTCAAGCGATTCTCCTGCCTCAGCCTCCTGAATGCTGGGACTACAGGCGCGTGCTGCCATGTCCGGCTAATTTTTTTTTTTGTATTTTTAGTAGAGATGGGGTTTCACTATGTTAGCCAGGCTGATCTCGAACTCCTAACCTCGTGATCTGCCTGCTTTGGCCTCCCAAAGTGCTGGGATTACGCTGAGCCGTGGCGCCCAGCGAGAATAATCGTTTTTTATTTCACTCTCTTGTGAAGGTGAAATGAAGAGTTAAAAGCTTGATTTGAGTTAAAGGTGATATTTTATTTACTTTATTAACTTGGTCCATAACAGATTAAGATTGTGTGACATACCATCAAAAAAACATTGAAACGAAATGAATAATTATAAACTGAATGTTTTCCACATTCAGTGGAAGTCCTTCTTAGAATTAAAATTCTTATTTGATGTCTTAAAATAGCTCAGTACTTTACTGTGCATCAACATTTGTACTATTTCTCCTAAGCTTATATTCATAAAAGATAAGTTACATTTGTATTATACTTTCTGATTATAGAAATTTTAATTTGGAAAAATATATGTATTCTAAAAAGTGAGAGTCTTTTATAATGTCACGTCCCTTTCCCCCAAGTTAATCATACAGCAATTTTGAATATATCCACTTACACTTTTTCGTCTTACAGTTATAAAATGATAAAATGGGAAGGTATTTTTATTGTTTTCCAAAATGACATTAATTCTTGCTTTCTGATTTTTCCACTTACAGTATTGTGAGCTTCTTTTTAGATCAGTACAAAGAGATATATCTTCTTTTAAATGATTAGGTACTATTGCATTGTAAAGAAATTAAAATTTATTTATTCCATCCCCTAATGATATATCTGTTTTATTTCTGATTTTTTTGTTTGTCTTTTCCGGTGAGGGAGGTGGTGCTTAAATTGTTACAATAAATATTTTTGTGTGTATATTTCTACTTGTTGAGTATTTATAAGATACATTTCTAGAAGTGGAATTGCTGGGAATTTAGAATTTTGGTATAGACTACCCTATTATTCTTCACGAAGATGATATCAGTTTATACTTGTAAAGTTCTTATTTCCTTATACTTTTAGCAACTGTGAATGAAATTTTTTTTCTGTCTTCTAGGATGAAGCTTCCCTAATGATATCAAGAGAAAAAGACACATTAGGTCACAGGAATGAGGAGGCTGTGATATTGCCATGTACACAGACTGAAAGGAACCTTTCACCTTCAAATTCTTGTGAACCTAAAGAGGAGTCTCAGTCAGCACCAGTCCAGAAAAATGACTCAGTTGTTTCTGTGGGGTAAACAGTGATTTTCTTTGACAATATAAAATAAGAGAGATACTTCTTTTAAATATTTCTAATTTTTATTGAGATATGTTAATGCATTTAAAAAGTGAACATAAAGAATATTGGTTTAATTTTATTGATACAGCAGACTGCCTAAAATATAATATCAGATTGAATTCAACACCTTCTAATGGTTGCCTGCTTATCTGCATTGTCAGCTGCGTAAGAGTGTATACAAAGCAATGCATTTAAAAACTACAAGTTGAGCATCCCTAATAAAAAATTCTGAAATGTGCCACAATTTAAAACTTTTTGAGAGCTGACATGATGCTCAAGAAATGCTCAGTGGAGCATTTTGGATTTTCAAAGTAGGGATGCTCAACTGATAAGTATAATGCAAATATTTCCAAATCTAAAAAAATCTGAAATCTGAAACATTTCTGGTCCTAAGCATTTTGGATAGGGCTACTCAGCTTATATGTATATAAGCTATATATATTCATTAACTTTTAAAAATTAGTATACACATAAGATAAAATTTACCATTTTAACTATTTTTTAATATACAGTGGCATTAAGTGTATTCACATTGTTGTCCCGTTGCCACCACCATTCATCTCTAGACTTTCTTTTTCATCTTCATAAAATGAAACTCTCTACCCATTAAATACTAACTCATTCTCCTCCTCTTCCAGCTCCTGGCAACCACCATTCTATCTGTATATTTAGCTACTTTAGGCATATTATATAAGTTTATTACCTTTTAAGAATTGACATAACTGTTTTCTTTTGTAAAATAAGATGTTTATAATCAGAAAGCAATTTCCCTTTAATGGTACAAAGTATTTTTTAGAGTGTTTATTAGAGGAGATCCAAATTTTACATTTTTACATTAGTTTTCAGCTTTTTACAGTCAAGCGCCCTGCCTTTCTCCCTGTCCCCTTGTTTAGGACTAATAATGTAAACACTTTCCAGCAAGAAATGAAGGAAAGTGTTATCCAAACTGCTCGACAAGTAAGGGGCCGACTTCAGAGACCGAGACCAAATATAAGAAAGACAGGACAGAGGCAAATAGTAGACAAAGGTGAAGCCAAAGGCATAATTAAGGAAGGAAGAACGATATTACCAAAAGATGAAACTGAAAAGAAAGTCTTAACTGTGGTGAGTTATTGTTATGTAATTAAATTTAGCCTTTTAATGCATTTAAAATGTCAAGTTATAGCTCAGACATAGCTTAGAAATACAGGCATCTGACACTTATTCTACTCAATGAATACAGTTTCCAGTTTTGTTTCAGATTTGCTCTTCTGGATTTTTTTTTTAAGTGAAAATAGATTTATTTCTTTTCTAATTAATGAAGCTATTCATCGTAAAATGTTCCATTAGGACAAAATAATATAAATACCGCAAATCTTACTCTGAGATAACCACTGAAAACCTTTTGACATATCTTACTGGATTTATTTCCATGCACACATTATGTGCACACTTATGCAAATTTAAACAATAAAGTCATTACGTACTATAACTTTCTGTTATTCACTGAATACTATGTTAAGTGGCTTTCTGGATCAAGAAATATGTTAGTTACATCATTTTTGCTGTATAACATGCTGTTTTGAGTAACAGTTTAATCTCTTATTAATGGGTCTTTTGGTATTAGGGAAAAAGTCTAAGTAGTGTAATGTCTAAAAATGTTCATTTTAGGTAGTTCTTATTTTTCTGTTAAACAATGCAAAGTCTAGATTTAAAATAATCTTTATTTGAACCAAAAAGCTCTTTCTTAAAAAAAAAAATTAAACTTTGTTTATTTTTAATTTCATAGCAGGTGACTATTATAGTTTTCAAAGTATTATGTAAACATATTACTGCAATAATCTTTGAAACTTTTCTCTGAACTAGGCATCCTTGTTTTTGGCAACAGAATGTGAACATTACATATCCAGTTTGAATCTAATTTTAAAGAATTAACCACCCATGGTGGTATCTGCCTGTAATCCCAGTTACTCAGGAGGCTGAGGAAGGAGGATCGTTTGAGCCTAGGACTTTGAGACTAGCCTGGGCAGTATGATGAGACTATCTCAAAATGCATAAATAAAAATTTAAAAAAGAAAAGGGATTTTAAAAAACTAAATATCTTAATGGTGGAAATATTTTAAGAGGTATATTCTGCTATAAAAATAACATACTAATATGATTTTGTCTTTTCAGTCAAATTCTCAAATTGAAACTGAAATTGAAGTTCCATCGTCCGCAGTTCCAGAACACAGAATGTATGAAAATCAAAGTCAGGTGGTTCTTGTAGAAAACCTTCATGTTAACAAAACAAATGAAACAATCAGGTGAGTTTGCTTTTAATGAGAAAAAATAAGACTTTTCAAAGATAAAAGTTATATTTTTGCATAGTTGACTTTATATATTAATAACTTCACATCCTGAAAATGTTAAAAGGATAAAGTAATAAATACTTGTGATACTAGAGTCTTTTAAATCTGCTTCTCGAATACTGTATGAATTGCATGGCTGATATTCTCTTAAGTATATGATATTCCCTTAAGTATATGTAATTTCTCTGAAAAGTTTGACAAGCATCCTACTTTTTGGTACCAAAACTAAATTTTTAATAGTAGACAAAGATTCTTAAGTTCTCTGTATCTTTTTTAGAAATTTAGGCCAGGCGCAGTGGTTCACGCCTGTAATCTCCCAGCACTTTGGGAAGCCAAGACGAGAGGATCGCTTGAGTCCAGGAGTTCAAGACCAGCCTGGGCAACATAGTGAGACCTCGTCTCTATAAAAATAACAAATAAAAAAAAGAAAAGAAGTTTATAACCTACTGACTAAAATTCATTAATAGGTAGTGCTATAAAGTATACTTAACAGTATACTATATTTAGAGGTAACTACATCGAAGCCAAATGGTAAGAATGATATCTTTTAATTGAGATGAGCTAGTAGGGTGAAGAAGTTTTAACATTACCACTTTTATTTATTACTTGCTATCTGCCTTCTTATTATTAAAGCAAGATGTGTTCTTTTCTTTAGTAAAAACGCCTTTCCTTTCTGTATATAGTTCTTGGTCCATCTAACTTACTGTCTTAGTAACTAGAACATGTTTTAGTGAAGTATTTATTAATTTTCCTCCAGGATGTTTTCAGCACTTATGAATATACTTTAAATATTTCAGCTTCCTTTAATTAGGTAGAGTGACTTTGGCTTTCTGGGAAATGCAGAGGAGATGTTATTGTATCCTTTTTTAACCCTCTCTAGTTAGGTGAAGCTAGAATTTGGGCATGTTAGGTCATCTGTCAAAACAGGTGCTATTGATTTATATTTTCTTTTTATTATATTTACTTTTTGAGACAAGGTGTCTCACTGTGTCGCCCAGGATGGAGTGCAGTGGCGCAGTCACAGCTCACTGCAGCCTCAACTTCCTGGGCTCAAGCAATTCTCCCACCTCAACCTCTCGAGTAGCTGGGACCACAGGTGCACACCATCATGCCTGGCTAATATTTTTGTATCTTTTTGTAGAGATGGGGTTTCACCATGTTGCCCAGGCTGGTCCTGAACTCCTGAGCTCAAGTGAACCGCCCATCTCGGCCTCCCAAAATCTTGGGATTACATGGTGAGCCACCGTGCCCGACCTCTGTTAATTTTAGATGCTTGAAGCAGTTTGCTTTCATTTAGACGAGTTTCTAATGTGAAGTTTTTATTTTAGTATGGATTACTTTTTTTTTTTTTTTTTTGGAGACAGAGTCTCAGAGTGCAGTGGCTTGATCGTGGCTCATTGCAACCTTCGCCTCCTGGATTCAAGTGATTCTTGTGCTTCAGCCTCCCGAGTAGTTGGGATTGCAGGCACCCACCACCACACCCTACTAATTTTTGTATTTTTAGTAGAGATGGGGTTTCACCATGTTGGCCAACCTGGTCTCGAACTCCTGACCTCAGGTGATCCACCCACCTCAGCCTCCCAAAGTGCTGGGATTACAGGCATGAGCCACTGCGCCCAACCTGGATTACTTTTGTTTTCAATATTACAGCCCCTCCCCCTGCTTTTTGTCTTAAAAAGCCTTAAATTTTTTTTTGATATATAATAGTTATACATATTTTTGGACTACATGTGATATTTTGATACATTATACACAATATATAATTACCAGATCAGAGTAACTGGGATATCCATCACTTCATACTTTTATCTTTATATTGGCAACATAATTTTCTAGCTATTTTGAAATAATACAATAAATGATTGTTAACTATAATTTTTCCTACTGTACTACTGAATACCAGAACTTATTCCTTCTATCTAACTGTATTTTTATACACACTAACCAGCTTCTCATTACTCCCTTCCCTCTTGCCTTCCTAGCCTCTGGTGAGCACCATTCTAATCCCTACCTCCATGAGATCCACTTTTTAAGCTGCTACATATGAGTGAGAACCAGCAATATTTGTCTTTCTGTGCCTGGCTTATTTCACCTAACATAATGACCTCTAGTTCCATCTATGTCACTGTGAATGACAGGATTTCATTCTTTTTTATGGTTAAATAATATTCCATTGTGTATATATACCACACTTTCTCACTTTCTTTATTCATTTGTTGCTGGACACTTAGGTTGATATTATGTGTTGGCTATTGTGAATACCACTGCAGTAAACATGAGAGTTCAGATATCTCTTTGATACAGTGATTTCCTTTCTTTTGGACATACACCTGGCAGTAGGATGGCTCAATCAAATGGTAGTTCTATTTTTAGTTTTTTGAGGAACTTTCATACTTTTTTCCATAATGGCATTCCTACTTTATATTCCCACGAACAGCCTATGAGTTTTCCCATTTCTCCACATCCTGACCAGTATTTGTAATTTTTTGTCTTTTTAACAGTAGCCATTTTAACGGCAGTAGGATATCTCAGTGCAGTTTTGATTTGCGTTTCCGTGATGATTAATGATGTTGAACATTTTGTCAGACACCTGTTGGCCATTTGTATGTCTTTTGAGAACTGTCTGTTCTCTTTTGCCTATTCTTTAATCAGATTATTTGTTTTTTTGCTATTGAGTTGTTTTTGTTCCTTATATATTCTGGTTATTAACTTTTGTGAGATGGATAGTTGGGAATTTTTTCTCCCATTCTGTAGGTTGTCTCTTCACTTTGTTGATTGTTCCCTGTGCTATGCATTGAAAAGTCTTTCCATATTGCTTTTATTTTAAGATTAAGGCCAATTTTTACTTCACATTAATTTTAGGTTCCCTTAGCCATTTTTTCAGTTTTTAAAACTGGATATTTTATTGAAATGTTTTTTACTAAAATGCATTAGACTTATATTACAAATGCTATATTGGATTAGGTTGATGATTGATCTCAGAGCAATTTAACTCTGATAATGTCTAGGAAACATTACAGATGAATTTGTTTACATCATTCACTTCTCCTAATTACTAATTATGGGATTATTTTCTATGTATAATCCCTTTTTGATCTCAAAGAATTATAGAATTTTACCACTGAAAATAACCTTATATACTCATTTATTCCACAAACATTTTAGTGTCTGCTGTGTGCCAGGCATTGTTCTAAGTGCTGATGATGTAGGAATAAATGAAGAAAAAAATGCTGTCACTGTGGAGTTTATATTCTAATTGAGAAACAGATTATAAATGAGAAATAAGTTGAATAAATAAGTGATAAATCAGTAGAGAAAAATAAAGTTTTGAGTAGGGAGTGTTGTGACTGGGGATTCACTTTTTAATCAGCAGTGACCAGAGAAAGCTTCATTGAAAGGGTGCATTGAAGGCCGGGCATGGTGGCTCACACCTGTAATCCCAGCGCTCTGGGAAACCAAGGCGGGCGAATCACCTGAGTTCGGGAGTTTGAGACCAGCCTGACCAACATAGAGAAACCCCATCTCTACTAAAAATACAAAATTAGCCAGCCGTGGTGGCGCATGCCTGTAATCCCAGCTACTTGAGAGACTGAGGCAGGAGAATCGCTTGAACCTGGAGGCGGAGGTTACAGTGAGCCGAGATCGCACCATTGCACTCCAGCCTGGGTGACAAGAGCGAAACTCCGTCTCAAAAAAAAAAAAAAAGATTAGTTTTTAATGCAGATCTTTCAGAGAACTCAAGATAGGTACTTATATATCCAGTTATTCTTTATAAATATTCAGGTTTATATTAGTTTTTTTTTTTTTTTTTGGAGACAGAGTTTTGCTCTTGTTGCCCAGGCTGGAGTGCAGTGGTGCAACTTCGCCTCACTGTAACCTCCACCTCCCAGGTTCAAGTGATTCTCTTGCCTCAGCCTCCCGAGTAGCTGGGACTTCAGGCATGCACGACCATGCCCAGCTAATTTTTTATTTTTGGTAGAGATGGGGTTTTTCCATGTTGGTTAGGCTGGTCTCAAACTCCCGACCTCAGGTGATCCGCCCACCTCGGCGTCCCAAAGTGCTGGGATTACAGGCGTGAGCCACCGTGCCTGGTCTCTATTAGTTTTTAAGCTTCCTAATTCAGATCTTTGCCAGTTGCTAAAATATTGTCCAGGAAACCATTAGATAGCTATTCAGGTTACCTTGGGAGCTCTGGCTACTCTCTTGAATGCTAAAACGTCTTTTTGTTATTTGGCAGATACAGACGGATTATATTGAGAACCTTATGACATTGGTTGTCAGTAAACCCTTTTTAGTGAGAGTTCAGGCATCTGTTAGGAGAATAGACTCTACCCTTCAAGTCTACTTTAGAACTAGAAGTATCGAGTTGGTTATAACTGTCATATATTTGTTCATGCTTTGGGGGCCCAGTTGAAGGCATGTGTTTAAAGTGCCATTATGAAATCCATCTTCAGCTACTTGCCTTTTTTTTTTTGGTATCCTGTGATTTCTCTGAAAATTAAAGTAGCATGAAATCATATAATAGAATGAATAAATGAAAGTTTAAAAAGATTAATATTATTGTAAAACTTTTTCAGGCTCTATAGAAAATGGAAGCTATAAATGCTTTATAAGTTCTTTTCATATCAGCAATGTGTGGTTTCATTTTACATGCTTGATTTTATTGCCAATTTATATATAGTCCTTTGAACATAGAATTGATTTGTATCCAAAATTGTTTGATGTAACAGCTGTTATATCAACAAGAAATTCTGATTTTTGTTCTTCAACATGATTCATACTTCATTCTAGACATGAAAATAAACCGTATGTTCCTAGTTCAGCACAAATGACAAGAAGGAAATTCCAAAAGGCTAAGCCAAATTTGGGAAGAGCACACAGTAAGAAAGAGGAACCAGTTTTAGAAAAAGTCACAACAGATCAGAGCAAGGAAGGCAAGCCAGAAGATCATTTGCTGCAGAAAGGAGCTTCCAACACCCAGCTCCTTCTAAAAGTAAGTTTGGGCAAAAAAAAAAAAAAAATTTTTTTTCTCAATGAGGTCTGTTTTGTCAAGATCATGAAGAGCATGAGTAAAATACAGTTTTGACTTCTGTACTGTAACCATTTTCATGAAAAGTGACTTTCTAGTGTTGTAAAAGATGAGCAACCAACTGCTTGTAGATATGTGTAAACTTAGAGGTTTAGGCCAAACTACCAAACCAAATTAACATAGAGATTGTTTCTGTAGTAATACTAGCTAATTTCTTCTTAAATTTAAGGAAAAAGCTGAGCTTCTGACATCTCTGGAGGTTTCAGCAAGAAAAGATTGTGTAGGTTCCAAAGAGTCTGCTTTGGCAAAAATAGATGCGGAATTAGAAGAAGTTGGACCATCAAGAAGGGTTGGAGAGGAAACTGTAGGAGATAATTCACCATCTTCAGTTGTTGAAGAGCAATATCTCAATAAACTAACAAGGTAACATTTTATTTAACAAAATGTTTCACAATAAGAAATAAAAATCACTTAACTTTTACCTTAACTTACTGGTAGAACAAAATTTTTGGGTGTTGAGTCCATTAGACATGGGTAGAAACTTGACCAAAGAGGAGTATGTATGTATTAGCTAAGTAATTAAGGTGCTCATTCAAATGGAGTCACAAACACAAATAAAGAATACCCTACTTCTATAGTTTTCAAAGAAAATGGAAAGAAACTTAAGTTCTAGAAACCAGCACTGCTCTAGTGGATTTCTGCTGCCTCCTTTTTCTTTTAACCTATCTGTTTACCCAGTAGGATAAACTAATACCACATTTGATCTCATATTCTGTATTTATTGGTCCTGTGTCTTTTTTTGTTTTTGAGACAGTTTCACTCTTCTCGCGCAGGCTGGAGTACAATTGCGTGACTCGGCTCACTGCAACCTCCACCTCCCAGGTACAAGTGATTCTCCTGCCTCATCCTCCCGAGTAGCTGGGATTACAGGCGTGCACCACCGTGCCCAGCTAATTTTTGTATTTTTAGTGGAGATCAGGTTTCACCATGTTGGCCAGGCTGGTCTTGAACTCCTGACCTCAAGTGATCTGCCTGCCTCGTCCTCCCAAAGTGCTGGGAGTAGAGGCGTGAGCTACTGCGCCCAGCCGGTTCTGTGTCTTTTATCCCTTTTTCTTCTAATAATTTTCAGTTTTGTGTTTATTTTATCTTCACTTTCATATTACAGGAAAGAATGGTCCAGAATTAAAAACTTACTATGAAAAATTTGTAGGTAGATAACTAAGAATTAACTCTGAGTGAGAAACTAGTAGTTAATTCCTTTTTTATTTTCACAGCATAAGATTTTAAAAGAATGGGTGGTGGGAATTTTCATTTTAATGACTGGAACTGGAATTTCACTCTAAAAGTTTGGTTTTCATTAAAATTATCCTTGCATGCATATGACCTTATTGTTGTTTTGATTAAATATCTAGCTGTCCACAACCGTTAAACGAAACAAGTTACTCTAAAATTGCCCTGGATGGGAAAACAACTATCTCTTCTACATCTGAGTATGAGAGAAATCGTGGTGAAAGGAGAAGTCATAAAAAGTTCAAACCAAATGTCACCAGAGGTCGTGGATCAAAACGAGTTCGGGGTAAGACCTCTAAGAAGGAACCTAGAGCTTCCAAGGCCATGCTGGTGACTCTTCGGGCTTCCCAGGAAGAAGATGATGATGCTGACGATTTTGAGTCTGACTATGAGGAAGAAAGCTATCATCTTGCTCCCGAAGAAGTAAACAAAGCTCCAGTATTTGTACCTGTTGGTCTCAGATCTCCTGAACCTGTTTCTGCTCAGATTGAGGAAACAATGGAAGAGGTTCGGTTTTTTTTTAAAACCTTGGTACTTTATCTTACTTGGTTTTCACCTCTTGTTTCTTTTAGGGGATCATTATTTCTTCTCGTAGTGATTATTAGGATTTGAAGAGTTCATTCTCTAAATAACCTCTACCAAATATAATTTGGGGCCTTGTATAACCTTTTGTGATTGCTCAGTCCCTATGGCCCAGGCCCAGCAAGGGAGTCAGTGTAACAACGAGAGAAATCTGCTTACACTTGTACCTGGAAGCTGTTTAGTCTACTTTCTGATAATCTTTCTTTTTTTTTATTTTTTATTTTTTATTTATTTATTTTTTATTTATTTTTTTTTATTGATCATTCTTGGGTGTTTCTCGCAGAGGGGGATTTGGCAGGGTCATAGGACAATAGTGGAGGGAAGGTCAGCAGATAAACAAGTGAACAAAGGTCTCTGGTTTTCCTAGGCAGAGGACCCTGCGGCCTTCCGCAGTGTTTGTGTCCCTGGGTACTTGAGATTAGGGAGTGGCGATGACTCTTAACGAGCATGCTGCCTTCAAGCATCTGTTTAACAAAGCACATCTTGCACCACCCTTAATCCATTCAACCCTGAGTGGACACAGCACATGTTTCAGAGAGCACAGGGTTGGGGGTAAGGTCACAGATCAACAGGATCCCAAGGCAGAAGAATTTTTCTTAGTACAGAACAAAATGAAAAGTCTCCCATGTCTACCTCTTTCTACACAGACACGGCAACCATCCGATTTCTCAATCTTTTCCCCACTGTTCCCCCCTTTCTATTCCACAAAACCGCCATTGTCATCATGGCCTGTTCTCAATGAGCTGTTGAGTACACCTCGCAGACGGGGTGGTGGCCGGGCAGAGGGGCTACTCACTTCCCAGCAGGGGCGGCCGGGCAGAGGCGCCCCTCACCTCCCGGATGGGGTGGCTGGCCAGGCGGGGGGCTGACCCCCCCCACCTCCCTCCCGGACGGGGCGGCTGGCCGGGCAGAGGGGCTCCTCACTTCCCAGTAGGGGCGGCCGGGCAGAGGCACCCCTCACCTCCCGGATGGGGCGGCTGGCCGGGCGGGGGGCTGACCCCCCCACCTCCCTCCCGGACGGGGCGGCTGGCCGGGCGGGGGGCTGACACCCCCCACCTCCCTCCCGGACGGGGCGGCTGGCCGGGCGGGGGGCTGACACCCCTACCTCCCTCCCGGACGGGGCGGCTGGCCGGGCGGGGGGCTGACCTCCCCACCTCCCTCCCGGATGGGGCGGCTGGCCGGGCGGGGGGCTGACCCCCCAACCTCCTTCCCGGACGGGGCGGCTGGCCGGGCGGGGGGCTGACCCCCCCACCTCCCTTCCGGACGGGGTGGCTGGCCGGGCGGGGGGCTGACCCCCCACCTCCCTTCCGGACGGGGCGGCTGGCCAGGCGGGGGGCTGACCCCCACCTCCCTCCCGGACGGGGTGGCTGTTGGGCAGAGACGCTCCTCACTTCCCAGACGGGGTGGCTGCTGGGCGGAGGGGCTCCTCACTTCTCAGACGGTGTGGCTGCCGGGCGGAGGGGCTGCTCACTTCTCAGATGGGGCGGTTGCCAGGCAGAGGGTCTCCTCACTTCTCAGACGGGGCGGCCGGGCAGAGACACTCCTCACTTTCCAGACTGGGCAGCCAGGCTGAGAGGCTCCTCACATCCCAGACGATGGGCGGCCAGGCAGAGACGCTCCTCACTTCCCAGACGGGGTGGCGGCCGGGCAGAGGCTGCAATCTCGGCACTTTGGGGGGCCAAGGCAGGCAGCTGGGAGGTGGGGGTTGTAGCGAGCCGAGATCACGCCACTGCACTCCAGCCTGGGCACCATTGAGCACTGAGTGAACGCAACTCCGTCTGCCATCCCGGCACCTCGGGAGGCCGAGGCTGGCGGATCACTCGCGGTTAGGAGCTGGAGACCAGCCCAGCCAACCTCTGATTAATCTTTCAAACATTTTGGTGTTTTCTGGTTGATAGAGAAGCTAGAAGGGACATACTTTTTTTTTTTTGATTTGGACCAGGCATGGTGGCTCACGCCTATAATCCCAGCACTTTGGGAGGCCGAGGTGGGTGGATCATCTGAGGTCAGGAGTTTGAGACTAGCCTGACCAACAAGGTGAAACCCTGTCTCTACTAAAATACAAAAATTAGCTGGGCGTGGTGTCAGGTGCCTGTAGTCCCAGCTACTGGGGAAGCTGAGACAGGAGAATTGCTTGAACCCGGGAAGCGGAGGTTGCAGTGAGCTGAGATCGTGCCACTGCACTCCAGCCTGGGAGACAGAGCGAGACTCTATCTCAAAAAAAAAAAAAAAAAAAAAGAAGAGTGCTAAAATACATGTAACATAAAATTTACTATCTCTCTCTCTGTTTTTTTTTTTTTTTTTTTAAAGACGGGGTCTCAGTCTGTCACCCAGTCTGGAGTGCAGTGGTGGGATCTTGGCTCATTGCAACCTCCACCTCCCAGGTTTAAGTGATTATCCTGCCTCAGCCTCCTGTAGCTGGGACTACAGGTGTGCACCACCAAGCCTGATTAATTTTTGTATTTTTGGTAGAGGCAGGGTTTTACCATGTTGGCCAGGGTGGTTTTGAACTCTTGACCTCAAGCAATCCACCTGCCTCGGCCTCCCAAAGTGCTGGGATTACAGGCGTGAGCCACCATGCCCAGCCATCTTACTCATTTTTAAGTGTACACTTCAGTGGCATTAAGAACATTCACATGTACGTGTTGTCATGCTACCATCACTACCATCCATCCACAGAACTCTTTTTTAAAATTAATTAATTTAGAGATGGGGTTTCGCTATGTTGCACAGTCTGGTCTCAAACTCCTGAGCTCAGGCAATCCTCCTGCCTCGGCCTCCCAAAGTGCGGGGATTACAGGCACGAGCTACTGCGTTCTTTTTTAAGATGATTAAGACATCCCGCAATGAGTGGTTGTCCCCTAGCCTGGCAAAAAACCAAGATACAAGATACAAACACCCAACACCTGTCCCTTGAGCCCCATCTCTATGCCGTCTGGCCTGGTCACTCTCAGGTCTGCCTTGCACCCCTGGCGAACTCTTTTTATTTTGTTAAAACTGAAATTCTATACCCATTAAACAGTAACTCTCCATTCCTCCCACCCCCTAACCTTTTGGCAACCACTTTTCTACATCTTGTCTCTTTAATTTGACTCCTCATGTAAGTGGAATCATACAGTATTTTTTTGTGTGACCATTTTATTTCATTTAGCATAATGTTTTCACAGTTCATCTATGTTGTAGCTTATGTCAGAGTGTTCTTCATTTTCGAGGTTCAATAATATTCCATTGTGTGTGTGTATCATGTTTTGTTTATTCCTTTATCATCAATGGACACTTGGGTTGCTTCCACCTTTTGGCTGTTAGAAATAATGCTGGTATGAACATAGTTGTATAAATACCTCTTTGAATCTCTGCTTTTACTTTTTGCGGGATATACCCAGAAGTGGAATTGCTGGATCGTATGGTAATTCTTTTAATTCTTTTTTTTTTTTTTTGAGATGGAGTCTCTGTTGCCTAGGCTGGAGTAGAGTACAGTGGCGCAATCTTGGCTCACTGTAACCTCCATCTCCCAGGTTCAAGCAATTCTTCTGCCTCAGCCTCCCAAGAAGCTGGGATTACAGGCACCTGCCACCACACCCAGCTAATTTTTTTGTATTTTTAGTAGAGGTGGGGTTTCACCATGTTGGCCAGGCTGGTCTCAAACTCCTGACCTCAAATGATCCATCTGCCTGGGCCTCCCAAAGTGCTGGGATTACAGGTGTGAGCCACTGCACCCGGCCTCGATCTTATGTTAATTCTATACTTAACTTTTCAAGCAACCTTTATACTGTTTTTCATAGGGCTGTTATCATTTTACATCCCTATCAACAGTGTACAAGCATTGCAGTTTCGCTACATCCTCACCAGTCGTAGCTATGTTGTAACTTTGGCTAGTAATCATCCTAAGGGTTGTGAACTAGAGAAACGTGTTGAACATATTTAGCTTCCTTACACTTTTGCCTGTTAGTCTGCCATTCCAACTTTGTAACTTCAAAGTTTTCTGTTCTGCCTTAATTTTCAGTCACTTCTTTGGCTTACTGAGGAGCATATCTGAGTCAGTTTTGTGTAAGCATTCATGATAGTTTCTGAGTAATTTGAAATGAATCAGAGTTAACTAAGATAGTGGCAACAATAAAAGAAGCAGTAAGAAACAGTAAACAATTCAAGTAATGTTTAAGATAATTAAGGTAAACTTTACATGTTAATGTAATTCCATTAAGAATTAACGGATTATCTGAATCTGTAAAGTCACATTTATGAAGGGAAGTCAAAATCTACTTTTATTCAGTGTTAATAATAACCTGGTAAATGTTTTAGAGTAAATGAACTAATAAAATGGTTGAAGCTAATTTAAATGATGCAAAATGAGGTTGTTTCTTACAATTCAAAGTAAAGATAGTAAATGTAAGCATTATGTGAAACCAAGAAAATGCAGAAGGAAGAGTAATTTTGTGGAAAGATATCTGGTTAATGCTGCATGAGAGTTCATTTAGCTATATATTTTGTATTTTTCTTTAAGTGAAGGCAAATTGCTAGTGAAACTATCAGTAATTAATTTCTGAAAATTAGATTCCAGACTGTATCCCTGAATTAATACAGGCTATCTTTTTTAATAGCATTAATCATAGTAATTGACAAGGCTTTCCTTAGATTCTATTCCTTATGGCCAGCCTACTAAACAGGGAAATTCATATATATGTTAGAAAAAATGTTCTTTAAAAAGCATTGAGGCCAGGCACGGTGGCTCACACCTGTAATCCTAGCACTTTGGGAGGTTGAGGTGGGCGAATCACGAGGTCAGGAGTTCGAGACCAGCCTGGCCAACATGGTGAAACCCCATCTCTACTAAAAATACAAAAATTTGCTGGGCGTGGTGGTGGGCGCCTGTAATCCCAGCTACTTGGGAGGCTGAGGCAGGATAATCGCTTGAAACCAGAAGGCAATGGTTGTGGTGAGCCAAGATCACACCACTGCACTCCAGCCTGGGCGAAAGAGCGAAGCTCTGTCTCAAAAAACAAAAGCATTGAAAGGCCAGGCATGGTGGCTCATGTCTGTAATCCCAGTGCTTTGGGAGGTTGAGGCGGAGGATCAGTTGAGGGCAGGAGTTCAAGACCAGCCTATACAACATAGCAAGACCCTGTCTCTACATTCAGTCAATAAATTAGCAAGGTGTGTTGGTGCGTATCTATAATCCCAGCTACTCAGAAGGCTGAGTGGGGAGGGTTGCTTGAACCCAGGAGTTTGAGGTTACAGTAAGCTACAATCATGCCACTGCATTGTAGCCTGGACAACAGGAGGAGACAAAAGCTTTGAAGCACAATGGAATGTTTTTCAGCCCTAAAGGGATATAAAGTGTTGATATGTGTCACAACATGGATGAATTTTGGAAACCTTAGGCCAAGTGAAAGAAGCTAGTTACAAAGTATCGCATACTGTGTGATTCCATTCATATGAAATGTCCAAAATAAGGAAGTCCACAGAGACAGAAAGTAGATTAATGGTTGCCTAGGTTTTGGCAGATGGGGAAGAGAGGGGTTAAGGGAGAGATAGCTAATGGGTATAAGGTTTATTTTTGAAGTGACAAAAATGTTCCACATTTGAATGTGGTGATGATTGCACATATCTGTGAATATCCCAAAATACATTGAATTGTACACCTTAAGTGGGTTAACTGTATGTTATGTGAATTGCAAGTCTTTTTTAAAATAAACTGTATGATGCTTAAAAAACCAACTTTTACTTTATAGAATATTCCCTTTTCCCATCCAGTCCCAACTCTTCAAGAAGTATTTTTTCTTCTCAAATCATCTGAACTTTAAAATTTTTTTTTGTTACATTTATTTATTTTTCTTTTCTTTATTTTTATTTTTTTGAGATAGGGTCTTACTCCATTGCCCAGGCTGGAGTGCAGTGGCATGATTTCAGCTTGCTGCAACCCCCGCCTCCCAGGCTCAAGCAATCCTCCCACCTCAGCCTCCTGAGTAGCTGGGACTACAGGTGCACAACCACCACACCCGGCTAATTTTTTTTTTATTTTATTTTCAATAGAGATGGGGTTTTACCATGTTGTCCAGGCTGGTCTCAAACTCCTGAGCTCAAACAATCTGCCAACCTCAGCCTCCCAAAGTGCTGGGATTACAGGCATGAGCTACCGTGCCTGGCCTATTGTTTTTAAATTCATTTTTTTGGAGACAAGATCTTGCTGTGTTGTCCAGGCTGGCCTCAAACTCCTAGGCTCAAGCGACCCTCACACCTCAGCCTCCGAGTAGCTAGAACTACAGGCATGTGCCCCCGTGCTCACTTGAATTTTTTGGTTCATCCCAGTCCTGTCAGATATTACCAAAGATTTTTCTCTAAATTTTGTATCTGAGGAAACAGATGTGGTACATACAAATGTAATTATAACAAATATGTTGGCTGGGCACAGGGTCTCATGCCCATAGTCCCAGCACTTTGGGAAGCCAAGGTGGGCAGATCGCTTGAGTGCAGGAGTTCGAGACCAGACTAGGCAACATGGCGAAACCTCATCTTTACAAAAAATACAAAAATTAGGCATGGTGGCACATGCCTGTAGTCCCAGCTACTTGGAGGGCTGAGGCGGGAGGATTGCTTGAGCCTGAGAGGTTGAGGCTGTAGTGAACCCTGATAGTGCCACTGCACCGCAGCTTGGGCGATAGAGTGAGGCTTTGTCTCAAAAAAAAAATAACGTATGTCTTGAAGGCAGATTCTCAGACTTGACTCTTTACTCACAGTTTCTACTCAGCCATACAACGTTTTATACTGTTTTTTTCTGTTAATAAGAGAATAGGCCCAGGTGTTGTGGCCATCATCGCACCACCGCAGCTGGGGTGACATGAGTGAGACCCTGCCTCAGAATAACAAAAGAAAAACAAAAAAATAAGATAATAAGAACCAGACTATATTGTATGTATTCTAGTAGGTAAATACCTTTTTAGTGCTCAGATTACACGGCTCTTTAAGTAATAGGACTCACAAATGAAGAGTAAATATGAGTGAACTTCTTATTTTACATGGCTGTTGCCCTGGGTATCAAGAATCGTGCAGGCTTTGGGGTTTTGGGAGAAGGGAGTTGGTGTGGGGGCAGTGGTATGATAAATATTTTATTTATTTATTTATTTATTTTTGAGAACAACTTGTCACTCTGTTGCCCAAGCTAGAGTGCAGTGGCATAATCTCGGCTCAATGCAACCTCCACCTCCTGGGTTCAAGCGATTCTCCTGCCTCAGCCTCCCCAGTAGCTGGGACTACAGGCAGGCACCACCATGCCCGGCTAATTTTTGTATTTTTAGTAGAGATGGGGCTTCGCTGTGTTGGCCAGGCTGGTCTTGAACTCCTGACCTCAGGTGATCCACCTGCCTCGGCCTCCCAAAGTGCTGGGATTACAGGCGTGAGCCACTGCGCCTGGCCCGATAAATACTTCTAAGGGCTTTCAACTCATTATAGATAGCATTTATGACCGTATATAATTAGTTGATTACATGTCTGCTTTTCTGTTAGATTGTGAATTCATTGAGGATAGGGACTACACTTATCTTATTTGACTTTATATCCCTGTACACCTAGCCTTCTATAAATGTTAACAGACTGAACAGAGAAATTAGGGGGAAAGTGAGGACAAAGTGAAGAAAATGGAAAATGAAATGCCAGGCACTAAGAAGATGAGTCTTAGAAAATTTGCTTACTGGTTTTAATAGTCACAGCCACCTCAAAAATTTTAAATGTTTTACTTTTGCCAAGTTGCTGTCAGTCAATAAAAGAATTACTCCATTCCATTTTTTAAGTTATGTATGAATGTGGATTATTTCTTCATTTTAGCGTTTCATCTTACTTATTCATGTTGAAGATGAGGCTTTGTTTTGCTGTTTATAATATGCCAAAATGAAATGATAAAACTTTATTTTGACAGCTTGAAATAACTGTGAATGTCCCAGATGTAGGATGCATAGCTGTTGTTGAACATGAGCTACCAAACACAGATGTGACTACTGAAGAAATGAAACAAGAAGAAAATTTGAGTGTACCGTTTGTAAGCATCCATTTTAATATGTTTTGGCCTTTTATTCTTTGTTTACTTTGAAAAGACTGGAGGTTCCTTTTGATAGCTTTAGGTTTATAAACACTTTACTTAGCTAATTTCTCTTTGTAAGGAGCTGTTAGTCTGAGTAGTAAAAACTAGTGAAAGCAATGATTTTGTTTGTTTGTGGGCAGAGCTCTTAATATCCTCATAGACTTTTACATTAAAATTCAGTTGCATTAAATTTATACTAAGTATAAACAAGTTAAAATATATTCTGTTGCGTTTTATTTGCACTCTTCCATTATTGGTATTTATTTGCCTTTGCAAGCGGAGGCTTGAAATTGTAACTTTTTAAAAACAGCTTTATTGACATATAATTTACACACCATATGATTTTCTCATTATTTAAAGTGCACAATTAAGTGACTTCTAGTATCGTGCAAACATTATCACAGTCAATTTTAGGACATTTTCATCACCTCAAAAAGAAACCTTATTAGCAGTCACTACTCCTTTCCTCCCAACCCTCACTGGCCTGGGGAACCAATAATTTGCCTTCTGTCTTTATAGATTTGCCTGTTCTAGATGTTTCCTAGACATGAAATTATAAAATCTGATCATTTGTGTCTGGCTTTTTTCACTTAATGTAACATTTTTTACTGTTCATCTATGTTGCAGCATGTAGTGGTACTTCCTTACTTTTTGTAGCCTAATAATATTCCATATGGATATGGTACATTTTGTATATCCATTCATCCATTCATGAACATTTGGATTATTTTCATTTTTTGTGTGTTATACATAATGCTGCTGTAAACATTCATGTAGAAGTGTTTGTGTACAATATGTTTTTATTTCTCTTGGGTACATTTCTAAAAATGTAATTGCTGAGTCATATGGTAACTCTATGTTTCATCAGTTGAGGAACTGCCAAACTGTTTTCCAAAGTAGCTATACCCTTTTACATTCCCACCAGCAGTTTATGAGGGTTCCTGTTCTTCCATGTCCTTGCCGGCACTTGTTATTTCACTTTTTTTTTTGTTCGGTGGATTTTTTTTTTTTTTTTTGAGACGGCCTTGCATTGTCACCCAAACTAGAGTGCAGTAACACAATTGTAGCACACTACAGCTTTGACCTCCTGAGTGTAAATGATCCTCTCCACTCAGCATCCCAAGTAGCTGGGACTGCAGGTGTGTGCCACCATGCCCAGCTAATTTTTTTTTTTTGTAGAGGTGGGGTCTTGCTGTGTTGTTCAGGCTGGTCTCGTACTCCTGTCCTCAAGTGATACTTTTACCTCAGCCTTCCAAAGTGTTGGGATTACAGGCATGAGCCACTGTGTCTGGCTTGACTTTTTGGATCTAGCTGTCCTAGTGAGTGTGAAGTGGTGTCACATTGTGGTTTTGATTTGTATTTCCTTGGTGACTAATGATGTCAGGCACATTTTATGTTCCTATTGGCCATTTGTATATCATCTTTGAGAAATGTCTATTCAAATCTTTTGTCTGTTTTTCTTTTATTGTGCTATTTGTCTTTTTATTATTGAGTTGTAAGGAGTCTTTATATAATCTAGATAAAAGTTGCTTAGCAGGTATATGATTTGCAAATATTTCCTCCCTTTCTGTGGGGTTGTCTTTTCACTTTCTTGATTTCCTTTAAAGCAAAAAGTTTTAAATTTTGATGAAGTTCAGTTAATCTGTTTTTTCATTTGTTGCTCATGCTTCTGTTGTCAGATCTGAGTCCTTTGTCAAACCCAAGGTCATGAAGATTTACCCATTTTTCTTCTAAAAGATGATTTTTGCTTTTACGTTTAAGTCTTTGATCCATTTTGAGTTTATTTTTATACATGGATAACCTCATTATCCAACTTATGTCTTTTGCATGTTGCTATCCATTTGTCCTATCACCATTTATTCGAAAAGACTATTCTTTCCCCATTGAATAGTCTTGGCACCCTTATCAAAAATCAGCTGACCATAGATGTATGGGTTTATTTCTGAATTCTCAATTCTGTTGCATAGATCTATATGTCTGTTCTCATGCTGGTGATGCTATATTGATTACTGTTACTTTGTAGTAAGTTTTTTTTTTGTTGTTGTTGTTGAGATGGAGTCTCGTCTGTCGCCCAGGATGGAGTGCAGTGGCATGATCTCAGCTCACTGCAAGCTCCGCCTCCTGGGTTCACACCATTCTCCTGCCTCAGCTTCCCAAGTAGCTGGGACTACAGGCGCCCACCACATTTTGAGACGGAGTTTTCCTCTTGTTGCCCAGGCTGGAGTGCAATGGCGCGATCTTGGCTCACCACAACCTCTGTCTCCCTGGTTCAAGCAATTCTCCTGTCTCAGCTTCCCGAGTAGCTGGGATTACAGGCATATGCCACCACGCCCTGCTAATTTTGTATTTTTCGTAGACACGGGGTTTCTCCATGTTGGTCAGGCTGGTCTCGAACTCCTGATCTCAGGTGATCCACCCGCCTCTGCCTCCCACAGTGCTGGGATTACAGGCATGAGCCACCGTGCCCGGCCTGGGATTGTTTTCTTAATTTCATTTTTGGATTGTTCGTTGCAAGTGTGTAGAAATAAAAATGATTTTTGTATATTAGCTTTATATCCTGCAACTTCTTTGGTGGATTCCTTAGGATTTTCTATTTGTCAAATCATGTCATCTGCAAATAAAGATAGTTTTACTTCTTTCTGTATTAGTTTCCTAGGATCACTGTAACAAAGTACAGATGCTCCTCGACTTATGAGGAGATTATGTCCTGATAAACCCATCATAAAATAACAATTTTTTTTTTTTTTTTAAAGACAGAGTCTCACTCTGTTGCCCAGGCTGGAGTGCAATGGCGCAATCTTGGAGGCTCACTGCACCCTCCGCCTCCCAGTTTCAAGTGATTCTCCTGCCTCAGCCTCCAGAGTAGCTGGGATTACAAGCGCCCGCCACCACATCCAACTAATTTTTGTATTTTTAGTAGAGATGGGGTTTCACCATGTTGGTCAGGCTGGTCTCGAACTTCTGACCTCAGGTGATCTGCCCACCTTGGCCTCCCAAAATGCTGGGATTACAGGTGTGAGCCACCGTGCCCGGCCTAAAATAAAAAAATTTTAAGTCGGGTACTCTTTGCACCACAAACTTGATAGCTTATAACCACAGAGAATTCTCCAGGCACTTATGGAGATGAGAAAAACAAAACAAAACAAATTTATTCTCTCACAGCTTTAGAGTCTAGAAGTCTAAAATCAAGGTGTCACCAATGTTGGTTCCTTCTGGAGGCTCTGAGGAAGAACCATCCCATGCCTTTCTCCTGCCTTCTGGTGGTAGCCGGCAGTCCTTACCATTTCTCAGCATGCAGCAGCATACTTCCACCCTCTGCCTCCATTACCACATGGCATTTTCCCCTTGTGTATGTGTAACCTCTCATCTTATAAGGAAAGGACACCAGTCATATTGGATTAGCACCAACTCTAATCCAATATGACCTCATCTAAATTTGATTATATCTACAAATACCCTATTTTTAAATAATGTCATATTCACATTATTTGGGTTTAAGACTTTGACATATCTTTCTAGGGGACACAATTCAACCTTTGATACTTTCTGACCTGAATGCCTTTTATTTCTTTTTCTTGCCTAACTGCCCTGGCTAGAACCTATAGTTCAAAGTTTAATAGAAGCGAGAGTGGGCATTTTGGTCTTATTCCTGATCTTAGGGGTAAAGTATCCAGTCTTTCATCATTTATTTTTTTCATAATTGAGATTTTATTGGTTGTGTTGAGGATCAGTACACAATTCTTCACATTTATACCGAAAATCTAAAAAGCCATGTATTGTAATTATTTTTAAGTTACTCTGGTGACTTTCCAGCTTAAAATTTGGAGGCAAGTTTTCATTAAAAGGCTATCAAGTACCAGTATCCTTACATGTTGATAAACTGTTACATACTTCCACAATTTGCAGTTAAATAGCATATATACTGCATACTCAAATTTTCAGTCTTTCACAGCACATTAACAAAATTATTAGGAAAACAGGACTACCACAACCAAAGATTTATAGAGTGCATACAATTCTGACAGGGAGAGCCATGATCAAGGAGTGGTTTTCTTTAGGAAGCAATTCTGCTAAAAAACAACATGGGCCCAGGCGCGGTGGCTCATGCCTATAATCTCAGTAATTTGGGAGGTGGGAGGATCACATGGTAGTTCAAGGCCAGCCTGGGCAACAGAGGGAGACTCTGTCTCTACAAATATGTTTTTTAAAAGTTGGCCAGTCATGGTGGCATGCGCCTGTGGTCCCAGCTACTGTGGAGGCTGAGGCAGGAGGATCGCCTGGGCCCAGGAGGTTGAGGTTGCAGTAAGCTGTCATCGCCGTCACTGCACCCCAGTCTGGGCATCAGAGCAAGACTCTGTCTCAAACAAACCTGAACCAGGTCGAGCGCGTTGGCTCACGCCTATAATCCCAGCACTTTGGGAGGCCGAGGCAGGCAGATCACAAGGTCAGGAGTTTGAGACCAGCCTGGCCAACATGGTGAAACCCCGTCTCTACTAAAAATACAAAAAATCAGCCGGGCATGGTGGCACATGTCTGTAATCCCAGTTACTTGGGAGGCTAAGGCAGGAGAATTGCTTGAACCCAGGAGGCGAAGACTGCAGTGAGTGGAGATTGCACCATTGCACTCCAGCCTAGGCAACAGAGCAAGACTCTGTCTCAAAGCCAAAAAACCAAAAAACCAAAAAAAAAAAAAAAAAAAAAAAGAACCAGAACCAAACCATGGGAATAAAAGTAACTTAAAAATTTCAAGACATCAGATACAGGACTGTGACTCCATATTGCCAGTTAATATAGTGGAATGTTAAGATGATACCCAAGACAGTCAAAGCCTCCCATAATTCAATATCGCACACTGTTTTCTGGTTGTACCAAAAAATAAACAACTGGAAAATGATTTTTACCCTTAAAAGCATGTACACTTAAAAAATGGGATGAGGTGGGATTTCCTTCTTCTTAAAAATGTTTCTAGAGTTACTAAAAAACTTGCATTTGTGAAATAGTTGAGAAAAATATTCCTCTGGAATGTACAAGAAGGGAGACAGGTACTATTGGTAAGACATAGTATATGATATTAATCAGACTTGGCTTTTTTTCTCTCTGGGCTTCATCAGAGGCTGGACTTTCCTTGGTTTTTGTTTCTCTGTTTTCTGTAGGTAAATCTGATTTCTTGGTTAGCCACTTTGGTTTGTTTTCCCTTTGTTCCCCGTTTTTCTCTTGTTTGCACTTTTTTTGTCTGGAGATTTATCCTTTCCTGCTGCCTTTTTTGGCTTTGTTTCCACTTTTGCAGGAGCAGGTTTAGCTGACAGTCATACTAATCTCATCTTGGGCTCTTTCCTTCACCGCCCTTCTGCTGAGCTGATCTTCCTCTTGGGCATCTTGTGGTCAGGAGTGTGCATGCTGGGTGCCTGTGAGCCGCACCATGCTGAGAGCCTTCTCAAAGCTGGGCTGCCTGGCTGCTACCACTCCTCCCATCCTGTCTTATCATTAAGTATGATGTTACCATGGATTTTTCATAAACGTCCTTTACCAGGCTAAAGAAGTTACTTTCTATTCCTAGTTTGTTGAATGTTTCTTTCATTAAAGGGTGTTGGAATTTGTCATATGCTTTTTCTGCATTTATGGAGATGATCATGTGAATTTTGTTTTTCATTGTATTTTTTGGACGTTAAACCAACCTTGCTTCCCCAGGATAAATTCTAGGATCATAATGTCTAATTTTTATTCATTGTTGGATTCAGCTTGCTAGTATTTTATTGGTGATTTTTATGTCCATATTCATAATAGATATTGGTCTGTACTTTTCTTGTGATGTCAGGAGATGAAGTCCTACTCCCCTAGGGAAAAATGCTCTCCAGGTGGGACCTTGGGGACTGGGGGCCTTGTATTTTTGGGTGCAGCAGTTTGAGGTGGAGTCTCTGCCATGCTGAGCTGGGAGGAAGGAGAGAGAAAGAGCAGTGTTAGTTCACATAGACTCTCACCTTTGTTAGCAAATTTTCAGATTTTCTTGAACAGATATTTCTTCATTTGCTTTTTGTCGTTAGGATCAGTTTCAGAGGCTTTTAAATGTTTTGTTTTTAAAATCAGTTTCACTGAGGAGTGGGTCAGTGAAGCTTCTCAAGCTGTCGCTCTGGACATTGGTTCTGTAACTTCTTAATTTATTAAAATGCATTTAAGTTTTAAGCTACGTAGTAGTATAAAAATTTTGCAATACCCTTTAGGCCTTGGTTTCCATTGGGTAAAAATTGGCAGCAGATATGACTAGAGTTGAAGGATTATGAAAATGAAGAAGTAAAGTAAGAATGGTAGACGTACATAACAAAATGATAAGAGTTAAAATTTGCACATAATACAAGAAAAAGATAAAGTCAGGAGCAAGAGACACAAGAATTTTGCCTTTAAATTGTTTATGTTCTTGCTGGTGAAATTTTGTGAATAATTATAAATTAAGACAAACCAGTTTACACTATTGTAGCTAAAAGTATGGAAAGACCTCTGAAAATGTAGTGCATGCTGAGAAACAGAACATGTTTGGGGAAGTATTTTAAGATGTTACTTATTTTTTTCCTTTTTAGGAAATGACCACAAGTGAACATATCCAAGATGAACCAGGTAACTGTTATCAAGGAAACTGCTAAGACTACCTTGATTAACACTAGTACAGTGATTTAATAGTGGGGATAATAAATGAATCAGTTTGCTGGAGAGTTTAACAAAAAGATTCAGCTATTGAATGTGTTGTCTCTGTGAGAAATGTGGATTCTTGGAATGTTATTTTAGAAGGTGAATTAAAAAAATGTTTAAGAAGTATTTGAGCATTTCCTCTGGATCTTCACAAATGGGAGAGCATTTTCCTTGAAGATATTATTTAATGGGAGGGAGGCATGGTCAGTGAGTCAAAACCAACAGTGATGATTTATTTATTTGTAGCATATAACCTGAACAAAAGACTACCTTAGTAAGGGATTAATGGCTCAGAGGATATTGGAATCTGCTCCTAGGAGATAAACACCTTAATTAAAAATCTTTTTTAAGTGAACAGATTTCCGGATTCATTCTTTTTTTTAATGTTGATATATTTCCTCACAAGGTACCAATGATGGAAGCACCGAAGCTGCAATAACTTTACTTACAATGGGAGATCTAGTATTGCAGTCAGAGATCAGTAGTGAACAGGGTGATGGTAAGAATGAAAGCTAAGTCCTATCAAAAATAGAAACTTTTAAAACCTAACTTAAGAAATTATACCCACATTTGAGTAATAACCCTTTTACCTTTGAAGTTGTCTCCATTTTGTTGTTCTTCCATAAAATATGATATGTATGTATTGATCCATCCACTATTTTACTACTGTTTAGGTGTAGTGACAGCTAATTCAAGATCATGCTCTTGGTTTATTAAGAATAATTTGTATTCATGGAATAGTTGTATGCATGGAATAGTTGTATGCATGGTAAAGGTAGTGAATACTACCTTTACCATCATAAATGTCATTGGTTAACTGAGCTCATTGATCACTGATATAGTTTATACATGTGTCTTTTGCAAAGGAGTTGCTGCTTGGGATGGTATTCACAATTAGATGACAAATAGAGCACAAAGAGACAATAGCACTCATTGAAATAATTTAGTTTAAACTGTTCTCAGTTTGGACAGAGCCAAAAGATATATCAACCAAGATTTTTAACTTATTAGATGGAAATCACAGACAAGTGATAAATCTTTACTATCTCAATATCTTTTAATTGCATGAAATGAATAATTATACTATTCCTGGTAATTATTTTGCCTGGTTACCATTCATTTTATTTACTTATTTATTTATTTGAGACGGAGTTTGGTTATGAGTAGCCTACCATTCATCTTATTTATTTATTTGAAGCAGAGTTTCGCTCTTGTCACCCAGGCTGGAGTGCAATGGTGCGATCTTGGCTCACTGCAACCTCTGCCTCCCAGGCTCAAGCAATTCTCCTGCCTTAGCCTCTCAAGTAGTTGGGATTACAATCGCATGCCACCATGCCCAGCTAATTTTTGTATTTTTAGTAGAGTTGGGGTTTCACCATCTTGGCCAGGCTGGTCTCGAACTGCTGACCTCAGGTGATCCACCCGTCTTGGCCTCCCAAAGTGCTGGGATTACAGGCATGAGCCACCGCACCCAGCTTCCATTCATTTTAAGTATTAGACTTTTGGGCCAGATGCAGCAGCTCATGCCAATAATACCAGCACTTTGGGAGGCTGAGGCTGGTGAATGCTTGACTTCAGGAGTTCAAGACCAGCCTGGGCAACATGGTGGAACCCCGTCTCTACAAAAAATACAAAAAATTAGGCAGGCATGGTGGTGTACACTTGTAGTCCTAGCTGCTTGGGAAGCTGAGGTGGGAGGATCGCTTGAGCTCAGGAGGTCAAGGCTGCAGTGAGCTGAGATCGCACCACTGCACTCCAGCCTGGGTGACAAAGTGAGACACTGTCTCAAAAATAGATAAATAAAGACATATTAGACTTTTAGGCTTGGAACCATGTATTTATCAGGAAAGTCTCTGATTTGTGTTCTGTATAGGGCTCCTTTCTTAGTGGCAGAGTATTGCAGTACAGCCTGTCAAAAACATATAGAACATAAAGTACATATAGAACATAAAGGTTTTAAAAATCTTAAATGCTGACAGTGCTGTCTTGAAATCCATCTGAGATTATATAATTACTGAAAGTAACAAAAGAACTCATTTTTACTAATAATCGGATAAAATTCCAGTCTGTAAGGATTATTAAGCTCACAACAGGTCAAATCCCTGGCATGAAATAGGGAGATCATAAATTTACAGCCAACAAGGGCAAAATTTATTTATTTCTAAAATCTTTTTCTATTGCTGCCACACAAATGAAGCAAACTTTAATAATACAGAATTTTACAATTACTAAATGTTGAGGAATTTATTTTGAGCATCTATAATTTGGTCCATTTTAATTTTGTTTTTTTTTTTTTTCTTCAGTAGGAGTATGTATAATTCCTCATGTTCATTCAAAGGATAAAAGCCATATTCCTTCTAGCCTAGATAATGTAAATCACAAAATTGTTCATGAATGTCAGGAACTTTCTTCACCTGTCATTACTACATCTCCTGCATCATTTGAAGAAAACAAGATTGTATTGGAGGAACAAAGTTCCAGAGAAGAAATAAGTTTAATGGAGAAAGTAAAGGAGAATGCTACACCAACCAGGTTTATTTTAGTATTCAATTAATAAATATTACTAAAACCACCATCAAATTAGTTAATAGCTTTGAGTAATGCTTTAAATGTAAAGTAGGCAATGCTAATTTCTTACCCTTTAAAGATAGACTGATTTTGATTTTAGGTTAGTGGTTTGCATGTTTAAATTATAGTAGTAAATGTTGTGTATCTTTGAAGCTTTAATGAAATAGATTTATGTAAATGTCTCTGTTTTACAAATACAGACTAAATTCTCTTCTTAAGACCTCTAGTAAAGTTACTACTTTGTAATTTTAGTATTAAGAAATGAACACTTGTAGACAGTGTGGCACCTAACAGGTCATTCACTCTATCAGTGCTAGACAGACTGTATTAATGTGAGAGAGCAAGATCTAACATGATTCATGAATTTCTCTATCTTCTGTTTTTAGGAATACAATTTCTAAAGTGACCAGTAATTTGAGAATAAGAAGTAGGCTTGCTAAGCCTAAACCAAATCTTGAGAAGACTTTAGGGACCAACAGGCTTGATGATTATCAGGAAGTTTCCAGTTTGTGTGTAACCAAAGGGGCAGAAATGGAAACTCAAAGAGGTAAATTTTATTCTCTTAATATGTTGCAAAATCATTTTGACACAAGAAATTACATTAACATTTCAAAGAAATATTTGGTCATTAAATTGTTTTAACTTACAATAAAATAGTTTCAAATTAAAAAGTAAGACGAGCTATAAAATAAATACCCATAAATCTACCAATTGGTTTTAGTAATTAATACCATTTTGCTACATTTGTTTGATCAATTTTTTGTCCTTTTATTCTCTCTCTGTCTCTCTCTTTCTCTCATTCTCTCTCTCTCATAGTTGACCCTTGAACTAGGGGCACTGACCTCCCCATTCAGTCAGAAATTTGTGTATAGGCTGGGTGCAGTGACTCACACCTGTAATTCCAGCACTTTGGGAGGCTTGAGCCCAAGAGTTCGAGGCCAGCCTGGACAATAGTGACACCCTGTCTCTTATGAATTGAAAACATATATATATATATATTCATGTATAACTTTTGACTCCCCAAAAACTTACCTACTAATGGCTTACTGTTGATCAGAAGCCTTATTGATAAGATAGTTAATTAACACATATTTTGTATTTTATTTGTGTTATATACTGTATTCTTATGATAAAATGGGCTGGAGAAAATTAAAAAAAAATTGTTTTTTCTGTTTTTTCAACTCATGTCCTTGAGCCGTAGAGAAGTGAAAATGTTATGAGCCATAGAGAAATGAAAATGTTATGAGCCATAGAGAAATGAAAATGTTACTAAGAAAGTCAGACTGGGGCTGGGCACAGTGGCTCATGCCTGTAATCCCAGCACTTTGGGAAGCCAAGGTGGGTGGCTCATTTGATGAAACCAGACTGGGCTGGGCCACAAGGCAAAATCCCATCTCTACAAAAGTACAAAAATTAGCCAGGCATGGTGGTGCATGTCTGTAGTCCTAGCTACTCAGGAGGCTGAGGTGGGAGTATCACCTGAGCCTGGGGAGGTTGAGGTCGCAGTGAACTGTGATCATGCCACTGTACTCCGGCCTGGGCAGCAGAGTGAGACTTCATCTCAAAAAAAGAAAAAAGAAAAAAGAAAATCAGGCTGGGCACGGTGGTGGTGCACACCTGAAATCCTAGCCCTTTGGGAGGCAGAGGCAGGAAGATCACGTGAGCCCAGGAGTTTTGAGACCAGCTTGGGCAATATAGGGAGACCTTGTCTCTACAAAATAATTTTTAACAGTTAGCCAGACGTGGTGGCACACACCTGTGGTCCCAGCTACTCAGAGGTTTGAGCTCGCCAGATCAAGGCTGTCGTAAATTGTGATATTGCCACTGCACTCTAGCCTGGGTGACAGAGCAAGACCCTGTCTCAAAGAAAAATAAAAGGAAGAAAATTATAAGGAAGAGAAAATACATTTTCAGTACTGCATTGTATTTATTAGTACCAAAAGTTTATGTCATCTGTTTACAAGATGAAACATCTGTCTGAAATGGTGGGCAACCCCAACTACAGGTGTCAACCTGTAATACATATCAAGCAATTCAGCTTTTTCTTACAATGTTATGACTCTCTCTGCTTCTTGGGAGTGCTTCCAACATCATTAATGATACTTTGTATGGGTCCCATGGGGTTATTCACAATATTGCACTAAACATGATGAAAAATACATGAGAACCATGAGAGGTCACCTTTTCTAAAACCTCTCTCAACGTGCAGTCTCAAATTACCTCTTCTATATAGAAGTCTTTTTTTCCCCGTTTGTGATATTATTCTTTGCAGTGCAGCTCCTTTTCCAAGACTTCCTCTAAAGTGGAACTAGCCCAACCTCGGTGTACCCACCTCGAAGTCTCTTTTATATGTTGAGTTTCTAATTATTGATGCTAGTACCATAAAATGAGGATACAATTATCATGGCAGCCATGAGTGAAATTTTTGTAGAACAGGATTTATTAATCATGTGTTTTACTGTTCAAAAATCTATTAGCTAGGACTTTCTGCCATGTGTATAAGCCTGATTTGTGGAATAAGAGAAGTTTGGAAGAGTCACTATATAGGAATCTTCCTTTTAAGAGGGCATATGTTTCTAATACAGGGATTTTAGCTGTATTATTTTGGTCTATATCGTAAGTGTGCTTTTTGTTTAAGAAACAGAGAAAAATGCTTCCAAAGCAACAGAATTGGAAAATAAAAACCTCGGACCAGTTACAACAGCAGAGAATAAGGATCAGAGCAAATTGGCATGTGTACATGGTATCAAAGGGACCAGTATTTCTTCAGAAGTAAACCTAACTGAAAGGTAAAAGAGTGAAGAGGTTCTGAGATTCAGTTTATATTGTTTCAGCTATAGCCTTAAGTTGTGGCTGTAAGAATTTGAAAAAGAAGTTCTGGCCGGGCACGGTGGCTCACGCCTGTAATCCCGGCACTTTGGGAGGCCAAGACGGGAGGATCACGAGGTCAGGAGATCGAGACCATCCTGGCTAACACGGTGAAACCCCGTCTCTACTAAAAAATACAAAAAATTAGCCGGGCGTGGTGGCGGGCGTCTGTAGTTGTAGCTACTTGGGAGGCCGAGGCAGGAGAATCGTGTGAACCTGGGAGACGGAGCTTGCAGTGAGCCAAGATCGCGCCACTGCACTCCAGCCTGGGCGACAGAGTGAGACTCTGTCTCAAAAAAAAAAAAAAAAAAAAAAAAAAAGTCCTATTGCATTAAATATGTTTTAAAAGTTTGAAAACCATTGAATTAGATGATCTTTTACACACCTAGCTCTAAAAATAATTCCATGATTTGCCTGATTTCAAATGACATGCATGCTAAACTCTCTTTCAGAAACGAAAATCAAGAAGAGAGCTCTCAGGAGGTTCACATGTTGTCAGTTGCTCCAGTTGCTTCCTCTGAGACAGGGCCCTGCACACTTGGTTTGGATAGGGGTCTTGGTGAAAATTCTGTTGAAGAGCCCCAGATAAAGGACTCTAAAGGAGACAGTGTGCTTACACTTCCTGTGCCAGAGGTAAAAGAATGTACAGTATAATAAGGGATAGCAAGGTGTTTTCCTCCATTTAAAAAAAAAAAGGTATAATTTACATACAATAAACTTCACCTCTTTTATCTTCATTTTTCTTTATTTCTTCTTTTTTTTTTGGAGACAGTCTTGTTCTGTTGCCCAGGCAAGAGTGCAGTGGTATGATCTCAGCTCACTGCAACCTCTGCCACCCAGATTCAACAGATTCTCCTGCCTCAGCCTGCCAAGTAGCTGGGACTACAGGCATGTGTCACCACAGCCAGCTAGGTTTTGTATTTTTAGTAGAGACGGGATTCGCCATATTGGCCAGGCTGGTCTTGAACGCCTGGCTTCAAGTGATCCACCTGCGTTGGCCTCCAAAAGTGTTGGGATTACAGGCATGAGCCACTGTGCCTGGCTAACTTCACCCTTTTTAGTGTACAGTTCTTCAGGTTTTTATAACTATGCAGTCATGTAACCAATACATGAACAGTTCCATAAAAAGTTCCCCAAGTGAGAGAAGCCTTGGACTTGAAGAACATGTATACATTATCCAGTTAAAGGGAGAGGAACGTGTGTGTAAAGAACAGGTGTGGACCGGTTGCAGTGGCTCACACTTTTAATGCCATTAAAAAAAAAAAAAGCCAGGCATGGTGGCATTTGCCTGTAGTCCCAGCTACTCAGGAGGCTGAAGTGGGAGGATCGTTTCAGCCTGGGAGGTAGAGGCTGCAGTGAGCTGTGGTCGCCATGCACTCCAGCCTGGGAGACAGAGTGAGACCCTGTTTCCAAGAACAAACCAGTATGAAACAGCATGTAAGCAGTATGAGTGGAATATTAATGAAGAAAGTGATTAGAGATGAACTTAGAAAGATAGCCTGCAGACAGATCATAAAAGGATTTTTATGACTTGCTAAGGAGTTTGGTTACATTTAAAGTTACGAGATTCCTTACCCCACCCTGACTTTTTAATTTTTACTTTTTATTTTGAAAAATTTTAAACTTAGAAGTTACAAAAATCTTACAAAGAATTATCCCATACACTTCACTTTGATTCATTAATTGTCAATATTTTGCCTCATTTGTTTTTTTACTCTGTCTTGCTCTCCATCTGTATAGATAAATACTTGGCTGGGTGGGGTAGCTCACGCCTGTAATCCCAGTACTTTGGGAGGCCGAGGTGGGCAGATCACCTGAGGTCAGGAGTTCAAGAACAGCCTGGCAAACAAGGTGAAACCCCATCACTACAAAAATACAAAAATTAGCCAGTCGTGGTGGCATGCACCTGTAATCCCAGCTACTTGGGAGGCTGAGGTGTGAGAATTGCTTGAACCCAGGAGACAGAGGTTGCAGTGGCCAAAGATCGTGCCATTGTACTCCAGCCTGGGCGACAGAACAAGACTCTGTCTCAAAAAAAAAAAAAAAAAAAAAAAAAAAACCAAAAAACTGAATCATTTGAAAGTAGGTTGAGTCCATAAATACCTCATCTTGTATCTAATAAGGACAAGGAAGTTCTCTTACAGAGAAAGGACAGTACTGTTGTCACACTCAGTATTACTACACTATTTAACATTGTCTCAACAATATGTAATATACAGTTTCATTCCAGTTTCCCTAGTTGTCCCAATCATGTCCATTATAGCTTTTTTTCTTTTTGAGACAGAGTCTTACTCTGTCACCCAGGCTGGAGTGCAGTGGCACGATCTCAGCTCACTGCAACCTCTGCCTCCCAGGCTCAAGTGATTCTTGTGCCTCAGCCTCCCAAGTAGCTGGGATTAAAGGTGTGTCCCACCACACCTGACTAATTTTTTCGTATAATATTTTTAGTAGAGATGGGGTTTCACTATGTTGGCCAGGCTGGTCTTGAGCTCCTGGCCTCAAATGATCTGCCCACCTCAGCCTCCCAAAGTGCTGGGATTACAGGTGTGAGCCACCACGCCTGGCCAGCTTTTTTTTTATTTTTCTTAAATTCAAGATCCAATCAGGGCTCTCACATTGCATTTGATTATCCTTTCTCCTTATTTTCCTTTAATCTAGAGTATTTTTCTTGTCTTTTTGTTCACAAAAGAGAAAAAGCAAGAGAAGTTTAGACCAGTCTAGGCTGGCCTACAGTCTGGATTTCTTTTTTTTAATTGCTTCCTCATTACTAGATTCAACTTACATATTTTAGGGCAAGATTACTATATAGGTAATAATGTGTTCTTCCTTTTATATCACATCGGGAGACACATAATGTCAGTTTGTCCCATTATTGGTGATGCTGACTGATCACTTGGCTAGAATGGTACCTACCAGATTTCTTCATTATAATGGCATCTTTTCCATTCTGTATTAGTAACTTGTCAAATGAGACCAACGCAGCAAGCTGTTACCCTGTAGTTTTAATATCCACTGATGATTCCTGCCTTAATCAGTTACTGACATTGTTGGTTACAAAATGAAAGTTTTAAGATTTTAAGCAGGCCAGGCGCAGTGGCTCACACCTGTATTCCAGCTCTTTGGGAGGCTGAGGCGGGTGGATCATGAGGTCAAGAAATTGAGATCATCCTGGCCAACATGGTGAAACTCTGTCTCTACTAAAAATACAAAAATTAGCTGGGCATGGTGGTGTGTGCCTGTAGTCCCAGCTACTCAGGAGACTGAGGCAGGAGAATTGCTCGGACCCAGGAGGCAGAGGGGCGGAGGTTGCAGTGAGCCGAGATTGTGCCACTGCACTCCAGCCTGGCGACAGAGCGAGACTGTCTCAAAAAAATAAATAAATAAATAAAATAATAAAAGATTTTAAGCAGTAGAAGCCCGGCATAGTGTCTTACACCTATAATCCCAGCACTTTGGGAGGCCTAGGTGGGTGGATCACTTGAGCCCAGGAGTTTGAGACCAGCCTGGGCAACATGGCAAAACCCCATCTCTACCCTTGAAAAATACAAAAAAATTAGCCAGGTGTGGTGGCGTGCATCTGTACTCCCAGCTACTCAGGAGGTTGAGGTGGGAGGATCGCTTGAGCCCAGGAGGCGGAGGTTGTGGTGAGCTGAGAGATTTTAAGCAGTAGAGAATTACAGTCAGGATTGCATTTTAGAAAAACCATGTTTGTGGTTTTTTGGAAAACAGGAGGGAACCATACTGCATGCAGGGAAAGCAGTTTGCCTTCATTCAGATGTCACCTACTAATAGTACAATGGCTGGTGTGATGGGAGTAGAGAAAAAGTTGTGGGGTTTGGGTCTCCCTATCCTGTCACTTCAAAAATCATTTCATAAAATGCACATATTTAACAATGTAGTCAGGATTCTTTGTATTAATATTTATTTAAATGAATCAAAAGTTTATTGGAACAGCCTAAAGCTTCAAACACTTGAAAACTGTATATGGTTAGATGTTGTTGAGTTAATCTCTTCACTATATCATATTGACAGGAATAACTTTTTAAATGTAAGATTTGGCCAACCTGACTCTTTCATTTTAATTTTTTATGGCAGTATACACCAACAAGTATTCCAGAAGTCCAACAAGAGAATATAATCAATCCTCAAGACCTAACAGGTATGATAATATGCTTCAGTGACATGTCATAGAACTTAGTTGTATGATTTTTACCCCTTATTTAACTATGGAAAAACATAAAACAGTTGTATTTTAGTCTATGCTGGCCTTAAATTTAAAACGTTTTATAGAAACACCTTGAAGTATTTTGTGTATCAGTTTTGTTTTTCAGAGTCATAAATCTTCTCCCTAGTATATCACCTTTATCCTTTATGAAATTACTTCTTGGGCCAGTCATGGTGGCTCACTTTGGGAGGCGGAGGTGGGTAGATCACTTGAGGCCAGGAGTTCGAGACCAGCCTGGCCAACATGGTGAAACACCATCTCTACTAAAAATACAAAACTAGCCAGGCACGGTGGCATGCACCTGTAATCCCATCTACTTGGGAGACTGAGGCACAAGAATCGCTTGAACCCAGGAGGCGGAGGTTGCAGTGAGCCGAGATTGTGCCACTGTATTTCAGCCCGGGCGACAGAGCGAGACTCTGTCTCCCCCCCGCAAAAAAGGAGGGAACTTACTTCCTCAGGCTGGGGGGTTGTTGGGGGGAGCATTTATTTATTTAGTCTTGATGATAAGTTGTCCTGAGACTGTCTTTTTAGAAATGAAATAAATTAATGATACTCTGTTATTTCATAGTTGAGCTTTTTTATTACTAACTTTTAAACTTTGATAGTGAATCTAGTTGCTAATGTACCTCAAGATGGAGAAGATGAACAAGCCTTTATTTTAACTCTGGTGGAAATCCCAGCCAATGCAGTAGAAGAATTTACTGATGCCACTGCACAGTTCATGCCAAACCCTTTACTGCCAGCTCCCATATTGGTCAAATCAGTGAATACCGAAGAAAGGGGTGACATGAGGTAACGAATGAGTGAAACTGTTTTTGCTAGGAGGAAAAGTGATTTATGAACTAAGTAGCATTGATTGAACAAACCATTCACCAATGTTAGTTGTTATTGTTGTGGAGATCTTATTTATCATTTATGTGGTAAGTTAGAGAAGAAATGTAATGTGGTAGATTTTATATCTGATAAAGATGCCACTTAAATGTTTCATGTATTAGTTTTGTATGAAACTTGTTTATTAAGTTATTTTGAAAGCTAAAAAAATTAACAGTCTAGATCATAAAATGATACCTGTTAAAAGTGTGGTTACTTTGTATAAACATACACATATGAAACTGTGAAATATGCATTCACAGAAAGTTGTGAAAATAGTACAGTGGTAATAAATACAGTTTTTTTTCTTAAGAGACAGGGACTTGCTTTGGTGCCCAGGCTAGAGTGCCAGGCTGAAGTGTAGTGGTGCCATCATAGTTCACTGCATCCTCGAACTCCTGGGCGCAAGAGATCCTCCTGGCCAGGCGTGGTGGCTTGCGCCTTTAATCCCAGGGCTTTGGGAGGCCAAGGTGGGCAGATCACCTGAGGTCAGGAGTTGAAGACCAGCTTGGCCAACATGGCGAAACTCCATCACTACTACAAATACAAAAATTAGCTGGTCATGGTGGCCTGCGCCTGTAATCCCAGCTACTCAGGAGACGGAGGCAGGAGAACCACTTGAACCCGGGAGGTGGAAGTTGCAGTGAGCTGAGATTGCACCACTGCACTCTAGCCTGGGTGATAGAGTGAGGAAAAAAAAAAAAAGATCCTCATGCCTCAGCCTTTCAAGTAGCTTCTCAGCTACAGGTGCGCACCACTGTGGTTAGCTAATTAAAAAAAAATTTTTTTTTTCTTTTTTCAGAGGTAGAGTCTTGCTCTGGTACCCAGGCTTGTCTTGAACTCCTGGCCTCATGCATTCCTCCCACCTTGGCCTCCCAAAGTGCTGAGATTACAGGCATGAGCCACTGTGCCCAGCTGTTCTTGATACTCTTATTTTAATTCTTTATTTTGGAAGTAAGTTATATCTTAACTACCATTAATTAAGATAATTGTCCATCGTGTAGCATTAGAAATTGAAGACTTTAATATTTTTATTTTTGGAGACAGAATCTTGCTCTGTTGCCCAGGTGGAGTGTAGTGGCGTGATCTCAGCTCACTGCAACCTCCACCTCCCGGGTTCAAGTGATTCTCGTGCCTAAGCCTCCCAAGTAGCTGGGACTATAGGTGCGTGCCACCACACTGGCTAATTTTTTGTATTTTTAGTAGAGATGGGGTTTTACCATGTTGACCAGGCTGGTCTCAAACTCCTGGCCTCAGGTAATACACCTGCCTCGGTCTCCCAAAGTGTTGGGATTACAGACGTGAGCCACTGCGCCTGGACTAGAAGGGACATTTTAGGTTAAACGTTTAACTTTACAATTAGGGAAAATACTATTAAATATTCAGATTTATTTTATTATTATTTTTTAGTTGTTTATTTATTTATTTATTTATTTATTTATTTTTAATTGATCATTCTTGGGTGTTTCTCGCAGAGGGGGATTTGGCAGGGTCATAGGACAATAGTGGAGGGAAGGTCAGCAGATAAACAAGTGAACAAAGGTCTCTGGTTTTCCTAGGCAGAGGACCCTGCGGCCTTCCGCTGTTTTTGTGTCCCTGGGTACTTGAGATTAGGGACTGGTGATGACTCTTAACGAGCATACTGCGTTCAAGCATCTGTTTAACAAGCACATCTTGCACCGCCCTTAATCCATTCAACCCTGAGTGGACACAGCACATGTTTCAGAGAGCACAGGGTTGGGGGTAAGGTCACAGATCAACAGGATCCCAAGGCAGAAGAATTTTTCTTAGTACAGAACCAAATGAAAAGTCTCCCATGTCTACTTCTTTCTACACAGACACGGCAACCATCCGATTTCTCAATCTTTTCCTCACCTTTCCCCCTTTCTATTCCACAAAACCGCCACGTCATCATGGCCCATTCTCAATGAGCCGCTGGGCACACCTCCCAGACGGGGTGGTGGCCGGGCAGAGGGGCTCTTCACTTCCCAGCAGGGGCGGCCGGGCAGAGGCGCCCCTCACTTCCCAGCAGGGGCGGCCGGGCAGAGGTGCCCCTCACCTCCCGGACGGGGCGGCTGGCCGGGAGGGGGGCTGACCCCCCCACCTCCCTCCCAGACGGGGTGGCTGGCCGGGCAGAGGGGCTCCCCACTTCCCAGTAGGGGCAGCCAGACAGAGGCGCCCCTCACCTCCCGGACGGGGCAGCTGGCCAGGCGGGGGGCTGACCCCCCCACCTCCCTCCCGGACGGGGCGGCTGGCCGGGCGGGGGGCTGACCCCCCCACCTCCCTCCCGGACGGGGCGGCTGGCCTGGCGAGGGCTGACCCCCACCTCCCTCCCGGACGGGGTGGCTGCCGGGCGGAGACGCTCCTCACTTCCCAGACGGGGTGGCTGCCGGTAGGAGGGGCTCCTCACTTCTCAGACGGGGCGGCTGCCGGGCGGAGGGGCTCCTCACTTCTCAGATGGGGCAGCCGGGCAGAGACGCTCCTCACCTCCCAGACAGGGTCGCGGCCGGGCAGAGGCGCTCCTCACATCCCAGACGGGGCGGCGGGGCAGAGGCGCCCCCCACATCTCAGATGATGGGCGGCCGGGCAGAGACGCTCCTCACTTCCTAGATGGGATGGTGGCCGGGAAGAGGCGCTCCTCACTTCCTAGATGGGATGGCCGCCGGGCAGAGACGCTCCTCACTTTCCAGACTGGGCAGCCAGGCAGAGGGGCTCCTCACATCCCAGACGATGGGCGGCCAGGCAGAGGCTGCAATCTCGGCACTTTGGGAGGCCAAGGCAGGCGGCTGGGAGGTGGAGGCTGTAGCGAGCCGAGATCACGCCACCGCACTCCAGCCTGGGCACCATTGAGCACTGAGTGAACAAGACTCCGTCTGCAATCCCGGCACGTCGGGAGGCCGAGGCCGGCGGATCACTCGCGGTTAGGAGCTGGAGACCAGCCCCGCCAACACAGCGAAACCCCGTCTCCACCAAAAAAATACGAAAACCAGTCAGGTGTGGTGTCGCGCGCCTGCAATCGCAGGCACTCGGCAGGCTGAGGCAGGAGAACCAGGCAGGGAGGCTGCAGTGAGCCGAGATGGCAGCAGTACAGTCCAGCTTCGGCTCGGCATCAGAGGGAGACCGTGGAAAGAGAGGGAGAGGGAGACCATGGGGAGAGGGAGAGGGAGAGGGTAATATTCAGATTTAATTCAATACTATGGAATTTAAGTTATAAGCCCTGAAGTATGAATGGAGCTCAAAACTATTAATAGCATTTTTGGGGCCATGGCCGTGTATCTCTTAGTTTGGAGTTTTTTGGTTTTATTGGAATTTTCATTGGAATACCTCAGCCTTTAACTTTATTATTGGAAGGATTTCTAGGATCCTTTAAAAAAAAAAGTGTTAAATAACTTCTAATTCAGTAATTTAGTATGTATTTCTTTTCTATGCAGTATTTGTTTACCAGCAACTTCAGTTGGTCAAGATGCCATGGGTTTATCTATTTCTGGAAGAGATAATTCTAAAAAGCCGCCTGATAATTTGGATCTTGTATCTAGGAAGAGATTTCAATGCAGGCTTGATAAAAATGACCACATTCCTCCTGCCAAAAAACGTTCACTCACTTTAAGAGATGACTGTCAAGAATATACCACTGAGGTAAGTGGTATATTAAGTACCACTCAATATGGCCATTAAGTAAGATGGCCATATTGCAACAGATCTGTTCCTATTTTTTCCTTTATTCTCTTTAAACTTTTAGATATATATAAAGATAGTTCTGACATTTATCATCATAAGTTATTCAAGTAAAACTGGTTTTGGATTATCACTTTTAACCAATGGTAAATGAAAATTGATGGAGAGTAATCAAGAAACTTATTCCCAGCTCTGTATTGGTGGCTAAAAATAAGACCAAAAGCATTATATATGTCTGGATCTTGGCTCTACCACCTAGTAGCTGTAACACCTTAGGCAAGATACTTCACCTCTCTCTCTGATCAGGTTTCCTAATATGTAAAATGATAATACTAGTATCATCATCATCATCATCATGCCTAAAGCTACCCATTGCTTTTAGGAGTAAAACCACAGCCTTTAGTGCCCCACATTGTCTTGCTGATTTTTGTCTCTAGTCTCATTTTGTGCCAGCTTCTGCCTCACTTTCTGGCCACACTGGCCATCTTTCAATTCCTTAAATGTCCCAGGACACTTCATTTGATGTACCTTCTGTGTGAAACATTCCCTTGAAAAACATACAGACTTCTTTAGTTCAGTCATCAGTGCCTCAGGGAAGTCCGGCCAGACCATGCGAATTCAGTCACCAACCACTATGTTGTAGGTTTCCTAGTACCCTCTTGTTTTTATACTCATCTAGTACTCATCATAATTTGTAACTACACTATGGAAAAGTCCTTTTAAAACCCGTGTTCTCAAAGAGAAAGTTAAAGACCAATAGTTCTTGAGTAATAGTTGACAAAGAGCAAGTGTGCTTTTATATATTTGGTGAGTAAAAAAATGGCATATCCCAGAACTGTTTTATTTTCTCTTGTTATGGGTAAGATTGAACATCTTTTCATATGCTTAAGAGCCATGTGTATTTCCTTTTCTATGAACTGACTTTTCCTTTACCCACTTTTCAATTAGATTATTGATCTTTTTCTTAGAGAACTGGAAGAACTCTTATATATGTCTGTGGTAATGAGTTGCAAATCTTTTTTCCCAGTTTGTCATTGTCTCTTGACTCTGCTTTCTTTGTTGTTGTTTTCTCATGCAGAACTTTTGGATTAACTTTTTATATGAACATTTCCAGACATATTAAAAGATAGACTAGGTATAATGTGCCCCCATGTACCAGTCACCCAGTTTCAATAATTTATCAGCATTCCATGCAGACATTATTTTGTTTTGTTTTAAAAATATCTTTAATGACATGGACAAAAGACCATAGTACTTTACTAAGTACAAAACTAGGTCACCAGACTATGATACGCCATTTAAAAAATGGTAGTTATACAGTGGTGTGAATATGTAAGAAAAGTATAATGTCCATTTGGCTTATTTGTGATTTTTATTTTCTAAACTTTGTTTTTAGCATTTTAACAATTTTTTAAAAATTGCTTTTACTAGTTGAGTATCCTTTATTCGAAATGCTTAGGACCGGAAGTGTTTCAAATTTCAGATTTTTTTGAATTTTAGAATAATTGCATTATACTTACATTTGTATTATACTTAACAGTTCCACATCCCAAACCTGAAAAGCCAAAATCTGAAATGCTTCAATGAGCATTTCCTTTGAGTGTCATGTCAGCACTCAAAAAGTTTAGAATTTTGGAGCATTTCGGATTTTCAGCTTTGGGATGCTCAGCCTGTACAAAATTGTAGGATACACATACACTGTATTCAGATAGAAGACATTTTTTATTTTCCATAATCAGATTTATCAGTCTTTTTGTGTATGGCTTCTGGAGATTATGTTATACATTGAAAGTCCTTTGAGACTTAAATTTCCTAGTTAATGTTAATATTACTGATTTGTTGCGAATTTGATTTGGTGTAAGGAATAGGGCCAAGTTAATTTTCCTCATATGACTTTTACCGTTTACTGAATAATTCATCTTATTTCCACTGATAGGAAATTCTGCTTTTATCAGTAAGACAGTAAATCTTCATATTTGTTTGGATATATTCCTAAAACTTCCTTTTCTTTTATGTTGATTCACCTATTTGTTCTGGGGCCAGTATCATCATACTGTTTGAATTTTTGTAGTTTTCTTTATTCTTTTTTTTTTTTTTGAGATGGAGTTTCTCTCCTATTGCCCAGGCTGGAGTGCAATAGCGTGATCTCAGCTCACTGCAACCTCCACCTCCCAGATTCAAGTGATTCTCCTGCCTCAGCCTCCCGAGTAGCTGGGATTACAGGCAGCCGCCACCACGCCCAGCTAATTTTGTAATTTTAGTAGAGACGGGGTTTCTCCATGTTGGTTAGGCTGGTCTCGAACTCCGGACCTCAGATGATCCGCCTGCCTCGGCCTTGCAAAGTGATGGGATATTACAGGTGTGGGCCACCACGCCCGGCCGAATTTTTGTAGCTTTATGATGCACTTTGGTATCTTATAGGGACAGTATCTCTCCCAAACCCATACAATTTTCTTCTTTTTTCAAGTTTCTCCTCATTACTTATATGTTCTCAAATTAATATGAATTTTAGAATTAACTTGTTTAGCTCTTTAAAAAAGAGTTCTATTGGTATTTGTATTTGAATCATATTAACTTAGATTAACTTAGGGGAAATTGACAGCATAATTATAATATTGAATCTTCCTATTCAAAAACATGGTATGTCTTTCCATTTGTTTAAGTCTTGTTTTGTGTCTTTCTATTTTGTGTTAAACTCTTCTTCATATAAATCTTACACATTTCTTATAGGTTACCCCTATGAGTTTTATCTTTTTTGTTGCTGTTATCATTAAGTTCTTTTCTATTTAGAGAGCTTACTGAGTTCCCTCATTGTATGCAGTAATTTTTCAGTTGGTTCTCTTGGGTTTTGTAGGTAAACAGACATACCATCTGCAAATATAATTTTAATTCTTCTACTTTTTGTAGTTCTAATTTTTTTGTAATTATAGTGGCTAATATAACTAAAAAATAATATTAAAAAGTGATCCAAATAGTGCACATCTTTTTTTTTAATTTCCGATTTTAATAGGAGAACTTCCAGTGTTTATTATGTGGGATGCTAGCTTCTAGATTGCAATAGTTATATTTTATAGTGTTAAGAAAATATCTGTTCCATTTTATAAGTTTTTTTCAAGAATGAATATCATTGGGTACCTTTTCTATAAATACAGATGATTTTTCTCCTCAGGTCTGTTGGTTTATATTAGATTTCATAGTGTCAGATCATCTTTGCATTCCTGAAACGAGCTCTACTTGATTGTGATGTAGTAGTCTTTTGATGTGCTGCTTGTACTATTTCTTTGATACTTTTGCACTGATATTGAGACTGATTATAAAAGGCAGTTAGCAGCTTTCTCTCTTCCAGTGGGCTCTGGAACATTTTAAAATAGTAGCAATATTTTTGCCATAAATGTTTAGTAGAATTCCTCTAAGAGCTTTTTGGGAGATAACATAGTTTCTTTACTTAAAGAAAAAAAGGAAATAAAATTAATTTCAGTTTTACTTGATAAATTTCTAAATTTTTTTTTAAATTTTCTTAAAATAGGTGCACTCAAAGGAATTAACAAATGTTTTTGAGGAAACAGGTAAGTGAAATACATTTTAACATGATTGCATTTTGCTAAATACTCCTGATTATTTGGGATATACCTTGTTCAAATATGAGATTGAAACTGAGTATTCCTTTTCTCCAAGAGTAATACTTGTATTATCAGCACTTCTTTCCTGCAAAGGCCTTGGATTTGGCAGTTTGGTAGGCAAAAGAAGGTCTTTTCATCCTGTCATCAGTTGAAGACTATGTGGCTACAAGGATTTTCTATGTAAGCTCAATAACTACACTTTAGGAGTTAGCTGAATGTAATGGCTTTTTTTCTCCCCCGCCCCGCCAAGACAGGTTCTCACTCTGTTACCTAGGCTGGAGTGCAGTGGCACAATCACAGCTCACTGCAGCCTCCACCTCCCAGGCTCAAGCAATCCTCCCACCTCAGCCTCCTAACTAGCTGGGACTACAGGCATGCGCCACTATGCCAAGCTAATTTTTTTTTTTTTTTTTTTTTTTTTTTGAGACGGTGTCTCGCTCTGTCACCCAGGCTGGAGTGCAGTGGTGCGATCTCGGCTCACTGCAAGTTCTGCCTCCTGGGCTCACACCATTCTCCTGCCTCAGCCTCCCTAGTAGCTGGGACTACAGGCACCTGCCACCACGCCCAGCTAATTTTTTGTATTTTTAGTAGAGACAGGATTTCACCGTATTAGCCAGGATGGTCTTGATCTCCTGACCTCGTGATCTGCCGGCCTCGAAATTTTTGTGTTTTTTGTAGAGACAGAGTTTGTATTTTTTGTAGAGACCATGTTGTCCAGCCTGGTCTTGAATGTATTTTTGTAGAGATGGGGTTTCGCCATGTTGCCCATGCTGGTCTTGAACTCCTGGCTTCAAGCAGTCTGCCCACCCCAGCCTCCAAAAGTACTGGGATTATAAGCATGAGCCACCACCTGTGGCCTATAATGGCATTCATAATAGGTTCTTTACCCTGAAAATTAGTTTAGTTCTAGAGATTTTTTCAGGCTTAAGCCACCTATGGAAGCTGAAAAGATCTTAGAGTCTTCTATTTTTATAGGAATCTAAAATTTCTGTGGGACATTAAACCACTTAGGATCTATTTCCCTCATGACTAAAGCTGCCAGTCACATTTATCCTGTGTTTATACAACTCTGTTTTTCATTTCTTTTATGACATTATTTCTCTTTTCTCTCAAAGTTAGGCTTATCATTCACACCTATAGCCATTGCTTTACCATGGCAATGGCACTCAAGAATAAAAATGTTGCTGATGGCATCTTACAGAGTTAGAGTTACAAGATAGAGAAGGGTTTGATAACCTATGATGGTTCTGGTTCTTTAAAAACACTTATAATGGGCCAGGCGCAGTGGCTCATGGCCTGTAATCTCAGCACTTTGGGAGGCCGAGGTGAGTGGATCACCTGAGGTCAGCCTGGCCAACATGGCGAAACCCCATCTCTACTAAAAATACAAAAAATTAGCCAGGCGTGGTGGTGGGCGCCTGTAATCCTAGCTATTTGGGAGGCTGAGGCAGGAGATTGCTTGAACCTGGGAGACGGAGGTTGCAGCCAGCTGAGATCACGCCATTGCACGCCAGCCTGGGTGACAGAGCAAATCTCTGTCTCAAAAAACAAACAAAAAATACTTGACTGGGCGTGGTGGCTCACGCCTGTAATCCCAGCACTTTGGGAGGCCAAGGCAGGTGGATCACCTGAGGTCAGGAGTTCGAGACCAGCCTGGCCAACATGGCGAAGCCTCATCTCTACTAAAAATACAAAAATAAGCTGGGCGTGGTGGCGGGCACCTGTAATCCCAGTTACTCGGCAGGCTGAGGCAGGAGAATCACTTGAACCTGGGAGGCAGAGGTTGCGGTGAGCCGAGATTGCGCCATTGCACTCCAGCCTGGGCAACAAGAGCGAAACTCTGTCTCAAAAACAAAAAAAAAAAACAACAAAAAAACCCCACACATATAATGGGCTGAGCACAGTGGCTCACACCTATAATCCCAGCACTTTGGGTTGCCAAAGTTGGTGGGTCACTTGAGGTCAGGAGTTCGGGAGCAGCCTGGACAACATGGTGAAACACTGTCTCTGCTAAAAATACAAAAATTAGTTAGGTGTGGTGGTGCATGCCTGTAATCCCAGCTACTCGGGAGGCTGAGGTGAGTGAATTGCTTGAACCCGGGAGGCAGAGGTTGCAGTGAGCCGAGATCGCGCCTCTGCACTCCAGCCTGGACGACAGAGCGAGACTCTGTCTCAAAAAAACAAAAACAAAAAAACTCTTATAATGTTAATACAGTCTTAGACTTAATTGTCCCAACTTTGACTGTGAAACTGTAATATGGTTACAGTTTACAGCCTCTAGAGATGTTCTAAGATTGCTCCCATCCATCTGCTCTCCAATAAAAGCATTAAGCAAACCACAATACAGTGAAGTGTTAGTGAATTTGTTCTATGCTATCTTTAATTAGGTTGTTTCTTTTAGCAGGTTTACTTATCAACTTCATTCTCCCTTCACAGAGCTAAAACACTCTCTCTGAGAACAAGGCCTTAGCTATACTAAGGGAAAACAGGTTTTTTATTGAGCAAGAAAGCTTTAGTTATTTTGTCCTAATCTTTGGCTACTTTGGCTTTTGTCTACTATTTAGTTAAGGAAAGAGAATTCTTTAGCTAAACTTGAGTATTTGAGAGTCTGTAGGTTTTACTTTTCAGGAGACCACAGGTACTTGAGTTACCACCTATATTTTGGATTGGTTTGGTTTCTAAATTTTAACAAACCTTAGCTTTTTTAGAAAGTAATCACTCTCCCATTTTGATTGCTCAGGAAATATTTCTGGGAAAATATTTTCTAGGCCAAAATATATTGATATAACTATTTTGTTTCTGAATGCAGAAGCTGTTAGCATACCTTATTAACCAATTATAATATTCTTAATAATCCAAGTAACTCCACTAATGATAATTTAGCTTACTCTTATTAGGGTAGGTTTATTATAGAATACCATGGGTTTCTTTTCAAATGCTGGGATTACATGGAGTGTATTAACTTCAGTATCCTTGCTTTCCATTTGCTCTTTTTTTTGAAGGGGAGTCTCACAAGGGACAAGATATTTTTCTTACCTCAGGAAGCACACTGACAACTCCAGAACCTCAAAGACAGCAAGTTGAAGCAGCTTTTCAGAGTAGAGGATCTAGATCTCCTGATGCATGCATGGACAAGAATGTGCCTCAGTTACCTCAGGATGAAATGATTGTGTCTGATAAGGAAGAAAGAACTGATGCTGCTCCTAAGTCTCAGCAAATGGATAGCAGAACATCGTCTTCTAAAGCCTCACTATCCAGGTATCATGAACAAATCTTTAATAAGTGTTTTGCTCTCTGTCTTAATAAATATAACCTATACAGAACAGATTAGATCCAGTACTAAGGATGGTGTTTAATAAACATATTCCTCCATCAGTAATGTAAAGGAAAAAGTTTCAGCCAAGGAAATACAGTAATATTGCAGATACACATTCTGTACAATAAGAGCTTAAGTGCTAAAACTTTTTTAGATAGAAAATCTTTAGAATATTTTGTACACTTATTTTTTTAGATTATCCATGGTTATTTTGATCATTACATAATCTACCATGTTCAGTAGCTACTAATGCACATATGTATGGATGCTGACATCAGAAGTTGTTTTACTGAAGTCCCAAATAATGTGTCATTTTTCTCCCTTGTGACAAACCAAAGAGGTAAACCATGGCTTTCTCCCCATAAGAATAAGTGTTGGAATTTAAGCAAGAGCCAACTTCTCTCACAATTTCCTCATATTCTAGAAGCAATGATTATCAATAATTATTGGCTTGTCAGCAGCATCCAGAAGATTAATGTGGTGTTGCTGAACTGAAAGAGGTGGGGGAACATGCACTAGTCTCCACTAAGGGGAAGGGGTTGGGGAAAGGACACATGTAGCTTAAAAGACATATTTAATAGATCTATTGTTTTTGTTATCTAAATTATAGAAGGTAAAGCTCAGTGGTATCTCTTCTGGCCTTAGATATGTGCTGAAAATAGAATGAGGCCCAGGTACAGTGGCACATGCCTATAATCCCAGCTACTCAGGAGGCTGAGGCCGGAGTTTGAGATTGCAGTGAGCTATGATTGTGCCTGTGAATAGCCACTGCACTCCAGCCTGGGCAACATAGCCAGACCCGTCTCTGAAAAAAGAAAAAAAAAGGCTGGGTGCGGTGGCTCATGCCTGTAATCCCAGCACTTTGGGAGGCTGAGGTGGGTGGATCACCTGAGGTTGGGAGTTCCAGACCAGCCTAACCAACATGGAGAAGCCCCATCTCTACTAAAAATATAAAATTAGCTGGGCATGTTGGCACATGCCTGTAATCCCAGTGACTCAGGAGGCTGAGGCAGGAGAATCGCTTGAACCCAGGAGGCGGAGGGTGCGGTGAGCCGAGATTGTGCCATTGCACTCCAGCCTGGGCAACAAGAGCGAAACTGTCTCAAAAAATAAATTAAAATAAAATAATAACATCATGAGAGTTTGGATTAAAACAGGTTGAGAAGCAGTGTTCTAGAACGGAAGTCAGCATTTTTTGTAAAATGGCATTTGTATATATTTTAGGCTTTGTAAGCCATGTGGTCTCTGTTAACAGCTATTCAGCTCTGCAGTTACAGCACAAAAGCAACCATAGACCATATGTAAACAGATGAACATAGCTGTGTTCCAGTAAAACATACTCACAGAATTGGGTGCGGGGCTGCATGTGGCCTGTAGAGCATACTGTGCTGACCACTGTTCCACAGCTTTGCTACTCAGAGTGTAGTCCTGACAACAGCAGTATGGACATCATTTGAGAACTTGATAAAATGCAGAACTCAGGCCATGCCCGCTACCAACTGTGCGAATCTTCATTTTAATAAGATCCCCAAGTGATTTGAATGCTAGAGATGTTCTAGAGACCGGGGTCCTGCTAATTTTGCCCAGGCTGTTTTTGAGCTCCTGGCCTTAAGTGGTCTTCCCACCTTAGCCTCCCAAAGCAGAAGCAGGTATTAAGGTTGTGTCTTGGCTGGGTGCGGTGGCTCACGCCTGTAATTCCAGCACTTTGGGAGGCTGAGGCAGGCAGATGACGACGTCAGGAGTTCGAGACCAGCCTGACCAACATGGTGAAACCCCGTCTCTACTACAGCTACTTGGGAGGCTGAAGCAGGAGAATCTCTTGAACCTGGGAGGTGGAGGTTGCAGTGAGCCGAGATTGCGCCACTGCACTCCAGCCTGGGTGAGAGTGAGACTGCGTCTCAAAAAAAAAAAAAAAAAAAAAAAAAAAAGAATGTGTCTTCCTGGGTATTCTTGAATATCGTTACATTTGTATTTCTAGACCTGGCAGAAGACCCCTGGGATTTTTATCTTTAATATGCTCAAAGAATAGTTTGGAGTCTGATGAACCTATGCAAGTCCATAGTAAGAAACGCCTAAAACCTCTTATACCTGGATTAAGAAAGAAATTGAAAAGATCTAATCCATTCAATGAAAGCCAGGAAAAAAATCGAGAGTCCTCTGATCTGCTTCCATCTCCAAGTGTTATTACTACTCAATCTGAGAATATTAGCAGCTCAGCAACTCAGGTATGTGATAACTACTGTATTTTATAGTTTGTATGAGATGGGTTGGATATGAGATTCAACTAGGGAAAACATAGTAATTTGTTATTTTTATTTGATGTCAGAAATTATTTTAGAGCAACTCCCATCCTTCTCTCCATCGTGTTCCTCCATAATGGAAGAAGAAAAGGTGTTGAGTCAGGAAGTTACAGTTAGATTAGTACAGAGCCATTGAACTAACCATAAATGGACACTTAATAGCCATTCCTTTAATCTAGAGACCCTTCTGACTTGTGGAAGCAAAAGGAAGCAGTGCTGACACCCACAAGAATTTAAGGAACTGTAAAACTAGAATTTGTTCACATGTTTCATTTCTATGTCTCCTGAAGCTGTCCAATGGCAAGTATTGGGATGGAAAACTCTGTAAACCTGTATCAAAGACTTTGTAAAAATATTGGGGTGACTTAAGATCTTGACAAAGAGAAGGCTGGTGAGCATCTGTTGAACAGCATGAGCCTTTGGAAGGGGTACTTTTGTAAAGAACATCTTTAAACTTTTTAAAAACATTTTGTATTATTTGTTAGAATTATTTTCTGAGATCAAGATATCAGTCTAGCTTATCATTGCCAAAGTCGTGGGTTTTGTTTTTTTTGTGTGTTTGTTTTGAGACAGAGTCTCACTCACTCTGTCACCCAGGCTGTAGTGCAGTGGCGTGATCTTGGTTCACTGCAACCTCCATCCCCTGGGTTCAAGTGATTCTCCTGTCTCAGCTTCTCGATTAGCTGAGCTTACAGATGCATGCCACAACACCCAGCTAATTTTTGTATCTTTAGTAGAGGCGGGATTTCGCCATGTGGGCCATGCTGTTCTCAAATGCCTGGCCTCAAGCCTTGGCCTCCCAAAGTGTTGGAATTACAGGCATGAGCCACTGTGCCTGGCCTGTAGTGTTCTTATTATATTCAGGGAAAAAGGCCCTTTGTGATAAAGATTGCAATTTTTTTTTTCTCTGTATGTCATTTGTCTTTTGATTTTATTTATGGTGGTTTTTGTCAAGCAGACATTTTTTATTTCTGTTTAATTTGTCAATCTTTTATAGCTTTCTGCTTTCAGATAGTTTAAAAAGGTACTCTTCCCAGCTGGGTGCGGTGGCTCACGCCTGTAATCCCAGCACTTTGGGAGGCCAAGGCGGGCAGATCACCTGAGGTGAGGAGTTTGAGACCAGCCTGGCCAACATGGCAAAACCCCATCTCTACCAAAATACAAAATTTAATCAGGCACGGTGGTGTGTGCCTGTAGTCCCAGCTACTTGGGAGGCTGAGATAAGAGAATTGCTTGAACCCGGGAGGTGGAGGTTGCAGTGGGCTGAGATCATGCCATTGCATTCCAGCCTGGCTTTGTCTTAAAATAAATAAATAAATAAAAAGGTACCCTTCCCCACCTACCTCCGTCCAGAATTATAAAAGTGTTTTTCCATGGCATTTTTATAGTAGAGTTTTTTAAAAAATACTTTTACATTTAAATCTTTTGATCCATCTAGAATTTGTTTTGGTAAGGTATTGGTCTGACTTTTTTCCCCCTGAGATGGTTATATAGTTGTCCAACATCATTTATTTAATAATACAATAACTGTTTTTGATATGGCACTTTTATCAGATGCTAAATTTCTATATATATTGGGGTTATTTCTAGTCTTCTGTTTCATTGATATATCTGTCATTCGTGTGCCAATACCATGCTGTCTTAATTTGTTTATAGATTTGTAAGTATGCTAATTTCTGATAAGGTATCTTTGATATGTTTTCTTTAGGTGCTGTTTTGTCATGGGTCTGTCTATTATGCAAATAATTAAAGTATTTTTACTTTATTTAGTGACAGATTTAACCATATTATATTTTTCTTTATTAAAATTTTTCATGGAAATTAGGATGAAGTAATGGATTATGGGTACACTGTAATTTACCTAATTATATCTAGTGTGGTATATTTAGTTGCTTCCTATTTTATTATTATAACTAATGCTACAAAGGTTATCTTAGTCATAAAACTCCTACTATGTTTAGGATTATTTACTTAATGTAACAGCATAGAAGTGAAATTTTTGGGTCAGTGATTGTGAACATATTTAAAGCTCAATATTTATTGCCACGTTGCTTTTCAAACAGATCATATTGGTTTAGACTGCTATATATACACACACATATATATATAAATGTTGTATTACAGTTTTATTTTTACTTTATTTTTATTACCTTTTTAGGTTTCTTGTGATCAGCCCTTACTGAAAGAAGGATATAAAAGTGCCCAAAAGCGGGCCCCTCAAGGGGAGGCAACCACAGTCTCTGAATATTTCTTCAATGATATCTTCATTGAAGTGGATGAAACAGAATAAAACAATCTTTTCTCTTTTTCTTTTTTAAATTAGGTCTAGGATTTCCAGAGTCAATTACATCAACAAAACAGTATTTAGAGCAAAATATCACTGTCTTATTTTTCTTTAGGTTGATTTTGAATACTTAATGAGCTTGATTTGAAGCTTTTATAATCAGTGGAAAACATTTCTGAGGTTCCTTTCATTCTGACTGATTCAGCATTTTGCAAATAGCAAGCAATTAAGACTGCTTTCTCAGACAGAAATAACAACTCTTGTTTACATTTTGACTCTTCCTGTGCTAAGCACACATGGACATTTGGGAATGTTGTGGATATATGTCTCTGTATGAATTGCAGTGCAGACAGATTTGGGGGTTAATTGTATCATATTTAACATTTAGCAACTTCTTTTGTGAAGATTTTTTATTTTTAGGGGGAGATGATGAAGGATGAAGGCTTTTTCATTTGCTTCTAAGTACAGTCATGTATCACATAATGAAGTTTAAGTCAATGATGGACCACATATATTACAGTGGTCCCATGCAATTAAAATGGAGATAAATTCCTATCAACTAGTGACATTATAGCCATCATAACACAGTGCATTGCTTTTTTATGTTTAGATATGTTTAGATACACAAATACTTACTATTGTGTTACAACTGCCTACAGTATTCAGCATAGTAACACATTGTAGAGGTTTGTAGCCGAGGAGCAATAGGCTATACCACATAGCCTCAGTCTGTACGGTGTGTAGCAGCCTGTACCATCTCAGTGTTTGTAAGTACACTCTGCGTTGTTTCACACAAGATCACCTAACAAGGCAATTCTTAGAACATGTAGTTAAGGGACACGTGACTATATGTGAAAACAAATTGTCAAACTTCACTTTAGTATGGCAAATGTTAAAGAACTTTTCTATTATCAGCTGTTTGTCTGACTGAAAAATACATATTTTTCTAATTCATGGTGATGTAACATTAGTCCTAATTGAAAAACTAGTATTTAAACATAATTATTTATAAAGATGACACATCAAAGGGCTTATTTATTTTTAAATTTTTTATTTAAAAGGATATTCAGTTTTAGCTATTTTTACCCCTCAGATTGTAGATAAAGAAGGCATTAAATTTATGTTTGTCTCCTTTTTCTGTTTAATTTTAAAGATATTTAAAATGATATAACTAAAAATGTTTAGCTGGTGTATATGTTTTGAATACCTTTTTCCCCTCAGTTTAGTATATTGACTTTGTACTGTAAATTTTTCTGCTTTTCTTGGATAATCTCAGGATTTTCATGAGGATAGGGGGAACTCAACTTTATTTATGAGACAAAATTTCCATACAAAGCTCAATCTCCTTTATACACCCACAGACATAATATTAGTTTTTAAAAAGCCAATTTCTTCATAGTTTTTTCCCATTAAATTCTCAAGGAACACTTGGATCTTTAAGCACGGAACATAATCATGATGTTAAAAACAGAGAAAATAAGGCTTTATAAAGTTAATGATTATCATCAGTATGAATTTAAGGTTTGTTTTAATTTCAAGATTTGATTTTTTATACGTGTAATTCTATTATCTACCCAAGCAGATCTGTAGTGGTTCCAATTAGACTTCTCAAACAGCAAATTTATCCTGATTTTATTTGAAAAGCCTCTTGGATTGATAGTATAGTAGCTCAGGCATTGGAAACTTTCTGCAAACTGTTTTGGGTTTGCAGGCCAGATGGTCTCTGTGGCAGCTACTCAGCTCTGCAATTTCAGTGTGAAAGAAGCCATAGACAGTACTTGAATGAAGGACTGTGGCTGGATTGGCCTTTTAGTTTGACCCCCTACATTAGGCCCCAAATTTTCTTACCCTGAGGTGCTGATATCTGTATGGATGAGTTATTTGTCACTAAAGTTATGAGTTGTGCCTAAAAGTTAAAACTGTTGACTGTATTATGTAATGATCAGTATTTCAGTTGGGAAGATATTTTAGAGTCTAGATAATTATGTTTGTATATTGAAAAAATGGTGGCCAGTTTTTAAGTTCCTTAATAGAAGAGAATTATGTCTCAGCACATATAACAGTAATGCTAATTTATTGAAACTACTGCTGTTAGAGCACTTCTTATTCATTGTCTTTTAGTGAAATTTATGGCGTAACACTTTGTCAGAGAGGAGGCTATATAATTCGGAGCGGAAATTGTCTATAAGTAGGCATTTATTTCATGATTGATATGTCACAGAAATCATGGTAGTAAATCACATTGCTATTTGAATACCCTGTTTTTGTAAGTTTTTAAAACTCATATTCTGAAAAGATTTCATTCTCTTAGTGTTAGCTTGGGAGTTAGATTGCCATGATTAAACTATTATTTATCCTTGTGTAATATTAGTTTTTAACTTTAACATCTGTTTCTTTTTAATCTATAATGAGCTAGTTTTATGGAAAATGGAATTTCTTACTATATAAAGAATACAGAGACTCATTGTATTAGAGAATCAAGTCAGCCAGCTAAAGTATCCTACTGTTAAATCCTTAAACCTAATTTTGGAAAAGAGAAAGTTAATCAATGTATTTACCTTACATGTTGGAAAGAACTATGTTAGGTCTGATTCATGTGAAGAAGATGTTGCAAAGGATTTATTTCACAAATTTTAAAGGAGATATGAGTAAAAGTTTTTATCTTTTCTTGACTTTTTCTCCTGAACACTTATGTCTTAGCAAGTGGTCAACATGAGGATTTGAACGCCTAATTGTTGGTAAATGGTTGAGGCATGACAAAAATATTAATATCCACTGTTTACCATCATGTTATTTGAAACAAAAGTGACCATGTATACTATCTTGCTTGAAGAAGTCTTTGACAGAAAAAGCAATATCATGTCATTTATAAATTTTCTTGTTCTAAAGAAAGCAGTTATATATATATATAAATTATGTAAATAAAAGTTATTTTATATCATTTCTGTTGTGTCCTTTTAAGATGACTAAATAAAGAATTGGCTGGGTATCGTGGCTTACACCTGTAATCCCAGCACTTTCGGAGGCCGAGGTGGGAGGATTGCTTGAGCCCAGGAGTTCAAGACCAGCCTGGGCAACATAATGAGACCTCATCTCTACAAAAAAATTAAAAATCAGCCAACTGTGGTGGTGTGTGCTTTTGGTCCCAGTTACTCAGGAGGCTGGGATGAGAGGTTCGCTTGAGCCCAGGAGGAGGTTGAGGCTGCAGTGAGCTGTGATTGCCCCACCACACTCCAGCCTGGATGACAGAAGAAGACCCTGTCTTTGTGGGGAGGAGACAAATTTTTGACAGGTGTGCATGTCGTTATTTCAAAGCTGTAGGAGTCTGCAATGTGATTGTCCTAATAGTATTTGGAAGAGACTCCACACAGCATCTCTGTTTGCTGCAGCATCGCATCCTGAATCTGCTGGAGAGCCCTGTCTTACATTGGGTTTCACTAAAAATCGGCAGTCTTACGGGCTACCCAGTAAGTAGGTTGGGGTAGTATTCCCAAATATATTTTATCTCAAACTCAAAGGGCGACTTCAAACATTGTTGCTTCTGTCTTCATGGTGACCAGTGCAAGGTGCAGAATCTTGTCTCCCTCTCCCCACTGCCTTTGTTTAAGAGATGGGGTTTCGCTTTGTTGCCCAGGCTGGAGTGTGGTGGCGTGATCATAGCTCACTGCAGCCTCGAACTTCTGGGTGCGAGCAATCCTCCCAGGTAGGTGAGCCGTCATGCCTGGGTAGCTTGTTTCTTCCCTTCAAAAATAGATCCCATGTCCTCAGACCACTAGACCCTTAGGAGATTCACCTATGTGGCAGGCTCCTGAACTTTAACAGTATTTACCTCCCAACCTCTTATATATGTATGTCTTCCTAAGACATCTAGCTGCTTGCTAATTCGTGCTTTCCAGCTCCAGTTAGCATAATGTTATACATGTCACATTTCATTTTTTTGTCAAAAATCAAGAAAATAAAAGTCTCTCCAGACTATATAATGAAAGAAAATGAGGGTATTCATATCACTCTGAAGTAAGACAGTAAAATCAGTTGTCCCTGCCACAATAATTCAAGTTCTTTTAATTTTTCTTACTGGAATGGAAAATGTTGCATTTTTTTCATGGCACTAGCTTTATTCCAGGTATTAGGAGTTGTGTTGATTTGGTCTAATAAAGGTACCAATCGCCAACTGCAGCTGTGATTGACATCATTTGTTAAATCTGTGATAACTTATTGTCATTCCCCAAGACCAGTGGTTCCCAAACTTTATTGCACATCAGACTCACCTGGGAAGCTTTAAAAAGTTTCTGTGTCCAAGTGGTATCCCTTATTGTTAAATCAGTGTCTGGGTGCAGTGGCTCATGCCTGTAATCCCAGCATTTTGGGAGGCTGAGGCGAGACATAGCGAGACCTTATCTCTACAAACAAAACAAAGCAAAAACTAGCAGAACATGGTGGTGTGTGCCTGTGGTCCCAGCTACTTGAGAGGCTGAGGCAGGAAGATTGCTTGAGCCCAGGAGTTCAGGGTTGCAGTGAGGTATGATCGTGCCAGCCTGGGTCACAGAGTGAGACCCTGTTGCTAAAAAACATTAAAAAATAATAGGGCCAGGCACAGTGGCTCACGCCTGTAATCCTAGCACTTTGGGAGGCCGAGATGGGAGGATCGCTTGAGCCCAGGAGTTTGAGACTAGCCTGGGCAACATGGCAAAACCCCTTGTCTACTAAAATGCAAAAATTAGCCAGGTGTGCTAGCACGCGCCTGTGGTCCCAGCTACTGGAGAGGCTGAGGTGGGAGGATCACTTGAGCCCAGAGGTGGAGGTTGCAGTACGCTGATATTGTGCCACTGTACTCCAGCGTGGGTGAAAGAGGGAGACCCTGTCTCAAAATAATTAGAAAACACACACACTCGCAGTGCCTGGGGGTGGGCGTCAGACATCTCCATTTAAAAAAAAAATCTGCAGGTGATCCTAAGGTGTAACACCAACACCAACACACAAAACAAAAAAATGTGAAACATTGTTCATTCGGACCTGTCTGACTTGAACAGCTGGCCAAGCTGGTGAATCAAATGGAAATGTAGTAGGAATCAACAGATCCCACTCACTATGTGGGTCAGAGAATGGGGGTGGTTTAAACCTTCTACTTGGCCTTTCCTTAATGCCTTATCTCATGGGTTAAGGAAACTGTGTGATGATTCTGCTATATCCTACTTCTGTGTATTCTGGGACTGAGGAAATAATTACAGGATGGGCTCCTGTGAGAAGTCAGACCAAGAATCCATCTTTCACGCAACCTCCATTAGCCTTCACTCTGAAAACTGGATCACAGAGGCTTTTAAGGTCTCTGGAAATCAGTATAATTTCAGAGTCACTATCTTAATAACCGTGAAATAGCTGAGTATTTTTGTTTCCCCAGTGCAAAGACCCTGATGAATAACCATAGTTCTCTCTGCAGAAGGCTTGGGGGAAGATTTATGGTATACCCATGAAGCCACAATTACAAAATCCTTCCTCAGAGGCTCCCATCTGCCCCCTCAGTCAAGGGACTTTGGGTCTATAACCTGATTTATTTAGTCTGGAAACTGGATATGAGGCTCTCTCCACTATGGAGACTTGAGTTTGGTTCTTGCACAACAGACCTAGAATTGTTTTGTCTATAGGTGTCATGCAACACTTTAGAAGGCTGTCAGTCTAACAGGAACCTTGGGATCAATTAGCCATCATCACAGATCCCCACATGTAAAAATACACTATGTCAATCCTTTGCTATGGCTTATTACAGTAATTGTGCCTACCTGGTCTAAAACAGTTCGGCATTGCTGCCTGGCTTCTTCCAGTATTCCCAATGAGGTCAAGGGGCCTAATTCCTTGGCAGTACCTCTCACCATCATCTCCAGTCTGCAAAGGACAACCATCATAGTGGCTGCATCAGCTCTTTAAAGAGGCTGATGCTTCTGTTACCAAGACTTTAAAGAAAAGAGTGTCCTCCAGGCCCTCTTGGGAGTTATGGTTAGGGGGTGTCTGAATAAGATGCACATAAATACAGCCAGTCCCCCTTTATCAGCAGGTTCCATATCCTGAGATTGAGCCCATCAAGGATCAGAAATATTTGAAAAATAAAACATAAAAATAACAATACAACTATAACAAATAATACAAATAAAAAATAAGTATGACAACTATTTATATAGCATTCATATTGTATTAAGTATTATGAGTAACCTAGAGATGATTTAAAGTATATAGAAGAATAGTGCTATGTTATATGCAAATACTATCCCATTTTATTTTATTACTTTTTGAGACAAAGTCTGGCCCTGTTACCTAGGCTGGAGGGCAGTGGCACGATCTCAGCTCACTGCAGCTTCCACATCCTGGGCTCAAGGGATCCTCCCGCCTTTGCCTCCCAAGTAGCTGGGACTATAGGTGCATGCCACCGTGCCTGGCTAATACTTATATTTTTTGTAAAGATGGGTTTTTGCCATATTGCCCAGCTGGTTTTGAATTCCTGAGCTCAAGTGAACCAACCACCCGCCTCGGCCTCCCAAAGTTCTGGGGTTACAGGCCTGTGCCACCGCACCTGGCCCCTGGAACCAGTTTTTCTCAGATACCCAGGGACAACTGTGAATCCATTCCAACATCCTCATTTTCCTGAGTCTTCAGATGGCTTCCTGTACATGGCTTCCTCTGTATAGTAGTGAGCATCAGAATCACCTTGGAGGGCTTATTAAACACGGATTGCTGGGCCCCAATCCTGAAGTTTATTTTAATTAATTATTTATTTATTTTTGAGATGGAGTTTTGCTCTTGTTGCCCAGGCTGGAGGCAATGGCAAGATCTCAACTCACTCCAACCTCCACCTCCTAGGTTCAAGAAATTCTCCTGCCTCAGCCTCCCGAGTAGCTGGAACTACAGGCATGCCCCACTATTTTGTATTTTTAGTAGAGGTGGGGTTTCACCATGTCGGCCAGGTTGGTCTCGAACTCCTGACCTCAGCAGGTCCACCTGCCTCACCCTCCCAAAATGCTGGGAATATGTTGGGAGCCGAAAAGGCCAAAGGGATTGTGACCAACTCAGCATTCCACTGGAGGCTACATGATCAAAGAGCAAACTGTTTATCATGAATACAGAATGTGGGCAAACTCACTTCTGTGCCTGCCCCAGAAAGTTTGCTGAGGGCCATCGCTCCCTGGCCCCGGCTCCTTGAGGTTATCTACTGGGACGTCTAGAGCCTATTGTTCGAGGAATGCAGTCTTGCAAGCCTACTCTGGACTGAGCAGCTGACCTCTTCTTCCACACCCCTTCTCACTATCTCTTTTGCCTAATAAATACAGAGGGCTGTGTAAAGCTCAGGGCCCTTGTTCACTAGAGACAAGGTGTCCCCTGACCCTTCTTCCAAACATATTCTTTTGTCTCTTGTCTTTATTCCCGCATTCATCCCCCTTTGTTCAGTCCACCAGGGATCCTGGCAGGCTGCAAGTGGTGCCTCGAACAGCAACAGAATCTGGTGCTTTACAAGTGGCGTCCAAACACAGGGGCTTCGAGGATGTGAATGAAGAATGTCTGCTAGAGCAGAGGAACTGAAATTGACAAGGCGAATGGGGACCCCGGGATGAGTCTGCTGGCAGCGGATATAAGGTCAGTGCCCTAAAAAGGTACTAGGAGCAGTGCTTTAAAGAAGTACTGGGAATGGGAAGTTTTCTGAATCAGGGTAACATGGAGCAGAATTTGTCTATTGAAGGAAAACATTATGTGCAGTTGCTTAAAGTTTCGTTGAAACAAACTGGTGCTCGGGTTCTCAGACATTCATTAAGATGCTACAGGAGGTTATTACGCATAACCCATGGTTTCCACGGCTTATTAAAACTCTTGATGTGGAAGATTGGGACAGAGCAGGAGAACGATTAAAACAGCCTCATGAAAAAAGGTCTTAAAGTTGATTCTTCTGTTTTTTCCACTTGGAGTTTAATTTGTACTGTACTTCTACCATTAGCTCCTTATTATTCTGTGGGACAGCAGGCTGAGTCTAAAAATCTGAAAGAATCTGTTGTCCCACCCACAGCTCCAGCTGAAAATAAAAAACAGGGCCAGGCATGGTGGCTCACGCCTGTAATCCCAGCACTTTGAGAGGCCAAGGCGGGTGGATCATTTGAGGTTAGGAGTTCAAAACCAGCCTGGGCAACATGGTGAAACCCTGTCTCTACTAAAAATACAAAAATTAGCCGGGCGTGGTGGCATGTGCCTGTAGTCCCAGCTACTCAGGAGGCGGAGGCAGGAGAATGCTTGAACCCGGGAGGCAGAGGTTGCAGTGAGTCAAGATCGTGCCACCGCACTCCAGCCTGGGTGACAGAACGAGACTCTGTTTCAAAAAAAAAAAAAAGAAAGAAAAGAAAAGAAAAAACAGGAGAGGGAGGATGAAAATTGGCCTATACCACCTGCTCCAGTTGCAGAACCATCTGCACCACCTCCTTAGGTAGCAGAAATAGAGACCCCAATACAAATAATTTTACGCTCTGCTGCCATAGCTGGAGAGTCCTTAGGACCTTGTGCTTTTCCTATTTCCATAAGACCTGATCCAAATAATGCACAGCAGCTCATTCATGAACACACTCGACTAGAGTTTAAGTTGTTGAAGGAATTAAAAGTGAGTGTGGTAAGTAAGGGCGTACAGAGCCCATTCACCTTAGGATTACTAGAATCTGTGTTTGGTGCTATGCGTCTTTTACCCTTTGATGTAAAACAATTGGCGTGAACTTGCTTGTCTGCTAGTGCATATCTGACGTGGAATTTAAATTGGCAAGAACTGTGTGCAGACCAGGCTAGACAGAACCGTGTTGCTGGACCCGGAGACATTACAGAGGATTTGCTATTGGGTAAAGGCCCTTATTCAGACCTGGAATGTCAAATGGCACTCCCAGATACTGCTTATCAGCAGTGTGTACAGGCCACTAAACGTTCCTGGGCCACAATTCCTGAAGAGGGAGTCCCAGTACAGTCCTTTTCACATATCATGCAAGGGTTGCAGGAACCCTATGTACAATTTCTTGCAAGATTGCAAGAGGCAGTGAAGCGTCAGATTCCTCATACCGTGGCTGCAGAAATGCTAACTTTAACTCTAGCTTTTGAGAATGTAAATGCGGATTGTAAATGTGCCCTGGCACCAGTGAGGTGTACAAAAACTTGGGAAATTTCCTCAGAGCTTGTCAAGATGTAGGAACTGAGCTTCATCGATCTACAATGTCAGTGCAAGCAATGGCTAATTTAGCTGTTGACAAATCTAAAAGGAGCCAAGGGTCAGACCCTAAAATGGGAAAATATTATAATTGTGGAAAAACTGGACATTTAAAAAAGGAATGCCGCCAGATCTCAGGACAGAAAGGATCTTACAATGCAGTTCCTCCCCCAGCAGAAAAAAATGCCAGGACTTTGTCCTCGCTGTAACAAAGGAAATCACTGGGCTAATCAGTGCCGCTCAAAATTTCATCAGAATGGCACCCCCCTGTCAGGAAACGAGACGGGGCCTGGCCCTGGGCCTCTCAAACAATGAGGGCATTCCCAGTTCAGACCACAACCCCATTTCAGGGATGGGTTCCCGGAGGCACATTGGTTCCTTCACCCCAGGAACACCAGGAAATATAGGATTAGATCTACCCGCTAGAGAAAGAATCATGTTAGTTGGGGGAGACAAACCCATCAAAGTTCCCACTGGTATTTGTGGTCCTTTACCCACAGGATACATGGGACTAATTTTAGGCAAAAGCTGTCTTAACTTACAGGGCATTACTGTAGTCCCAGGAGTGATTGACTCTGATTATGAAGGAGAAATTCAAGTAGTTTTAATGTCACAAGATCTTTGGGTTTTTGAACTGGGAGAATATATTGCTCAATTATTGCTTATTCCCTGCAAATTACACCCTTCTCCACGAAAGGAGAAATGAGGAAATAAAGGGTTTGGGAGCACAACTACATGGGAAGTCTGTCCCAACCAGTAGCCTCTAATAGACCCACCTGTGTAATACAAATTAAAGGAAAGAAATTTTATGGGCTTATGGATATGGGAGCTGATGTGTCAGTAATATCTAAAGACAATTGGCCCCCATCCTGGCCCTTGCAATTAACTTCTGCATACTTACTGGGAGTAGAAACAGCTCAAAGTGTTCAACAAAGTGCTGAGATTTTACCTTGTCTTGGTCCGGATGGACAGTCTTGTACTTTTCAGCCTTATGTCGCAAATACAGCTATCAATTTATGGGGTCGAGACTTACAGCATGGGATATGAAACTTACAAATGAAAACTTTGATAACCCAGGATTTAAAATGTTGAAGAACATGGGATATCACAGTGGAAAAGGTCTGGGGAGGTTCCTACAATGAAACCCTAATCCAATATCAATAACTGGAAAAACAAATAGAAAAGGGCTAGGACCTCAGGATTTCTGATGGAGGTCATTGATATTTCTTCTCCACGCTCTGCCTTACCATTAGAATGGCTCAGTGACAAACCCATATGGGTGGATCAATGGCCGCTATCTTGGGAGAAGCTGACGCAACTTCAGCAGCTAGTAAAAGAACAATTGGATGCAGGACACATAGAGGAGTCAGTTAGCCCCTGGAATTCTCCAGTGTTTGTTATTCCAAAAAAGTCCAGAAGTTGGTGACTGCTGCATGATTTAAGAGCTAGTAATGCAAAAATTCAACTGATGGGCACCTTACAGAAAGGTTTACCATCTCCAGCGGCTATTCCAAGAGACTGGCCTCTTGTAGTAATAGATCTTAAGGACTGTTTCTTTACTATACCCATACATGAGAAGGATAAGCCTCAATTTGCCTTCTCTGTGCCTTCTATTAATCAAAGAGAACCTGTTTCTCATTATCAATGGAGAGTTTTACCCCAAGGCATGCTTAACAGTCCTACGCTATGTCAGCATTTTGTAGGACAGGCATTAAAGGAGCCTCGGAATATGTTTCCTACTGCTTACATCATTCATTTTATGGCTGATACTCTTTTGGCCGCTCCTACAGATCAAATATTGCATCAATTATTCAGAGAAGTAAAGTAAGCTCTTGTTAATTGGAATCTCAACATTGCTCCAGAGAAGGTACAAACAACTTCCCCATACCAATACTTAGGAACTATTGTTACAGAGAGAAGATCGACCAGAGTCACGACGACATCAACCCCCATAACCTGGGACAACTCAAGAAAACTACGCAGGAAGCTGAGAAACTACTGGAGTGTCAAGGCCAGACAAAAACCCCTGATTCCGTGTTCTTGGCCATGTTAGCCATAATATCCTGTGCAGTATGTTTTTCCTGTGCAGAGGCAAAAACATATTGGGCATATGTTCCCAAGTCCCCAGCAGTATGACCCATACTTTGGAGTGACACTCCTCCTAAGATTTATCATGATTAAGGAGCATGGGCTCCAGGACCCCTAACTCCACCTGACATAGAACAGTTAGACTCTCAGAATAATGTCATTAATTATACCGCTCCATTGGAAGGACTTCCTTTGTGTGTCACCACAAAGACATCACTCAGCCATAGCTGTCTTACAGTTCAAGCTCACACATGGTTGAGTCACTATGGGAAAATCATGTACTTATTAAGTCTTGGTTATATTAATGTAACCGGTGTGCTAACCAACCATTCCTGGCCCAATCGCCTTCATTGTGCTGACTATACAGAATGGATTCCCTTCAATAGTTCCTACCCCCCTCCATAGACCCAGTGTCTTGGCCCACTGGCTAGAAAACAATCTATGTTAACTGGAGACATTGTGGATTGGGGACCTAAAGGCCAATTAGATGGAAAAGAAGAAAATCAGAAATCGTGGCACAAACTTTGCTGGCATTGGTGGCAAGCTTTTAATGCTTCTTCTTTATATAACACTGGGATCCAATCCCAGTCGGCCGCCCAGATTGCTTGGCATGGAGCAGGCTTTAGCCCGCCTCTTCCTCAGTGGCATTATCTAGGGAGGAAAGGACCAATTCAAAAGATGATATGGAAGGCAGCATTCCCATTTATGAATGGCAACATCTGGGTTGCCATAATACTATCCAATAATAGCAATAGTAAGCAACACAGTCTTAATGTTACATTTGTAAAGAATATCACCACTCAATTTACAGTTTGTGTTTTTAATCCTTATGTGTTTTTGGCAGCTAAGAAGGACCAGCTCCAGGTAAACAATACCCAATTGACCTGTAAATCTTGCCAGTTATATCACTGCATTAATCATAGCACATTGCAAACACATAATATCTCTACTTTGATGATTTTAGGTTGCATCCCTGGGCTATGGATTCCTGTTAATCTGTCTGAGCCATGGGCTGCCACAATTGCTTTACATTTTGTGAAACTTCTTCTAACTCAGTTTACTCATTGTGTCCGTAGAGGCTTAGGCATGATAATTTTTGCTATTGTTTACTTGGTCACACTAATAATTTCTGTTGTGATGTCCTCTGTAGCTTTGCATAGTTCTATTCAAACAGCTCAGTATGTGGAGAACTGGACACGCACAGTCAACCAAGGGTGGCTACTTGAGAATAAAATTAACACTGAGTTACAAACTGAAGTGGCAGTGTTATAATCCACGATTCTATGGTTAGGGGAACAAGTACAAAGCTTGCAATTGCAGCAGTAATTGTGTTGTCATTTTAATCACACTCATATTTGTGTAACCAACTTAGAATATAACCAAAGTGAGTATCCATGGGATCTTGTGAAAGCCCATTTGCAGGGAGCTTTCACATCCGACATCACCTTTGATATTGGTGAATTACAAAACAAAATTCTTGATTTAAATAAACAAATTCCAGAGTTTCAGCCTTCTTTAGAAGACTGGACTGAATTCCAGCAAGGCCTGGAGAGCGTCAACCCTTGGACCTATCTAAAGCACCACATTAACATCTTATATATAGTTCTTGGAATAATGTTGTTTTGTCTCTGTCTTCTGTTCATAGTCTGTAAAATCGGATGGACTGCCAATCGGAGAATGAAAGCTACCCAGCCTGGCCTTACATTCTTTCACTTAATACATAAACAAGAAGGGGGAAATGTTGGGAGCCAAAAAGGCCAAAGGGATGGTGACCAACTCAGCATTCCACTGGAGGCTACATGATCAAACAGCAAACTGTTTATCATGAATACAGAATGTGGGCAAACTCGCTTCTGTGCCTGCCCAGAAGGTTTGCTGAGGGCCATCGCTCCCTGGCCCCGGCTCCTTGAGGTTATCTACTGGGACATCTAGAGCCTATTGTTCGAGGAATGCAGTCTTGCAAGCCTACTCTGGACCGAGCAGCTGACCTCTTCTTCCACACCCCTTCTCACTATCTCTTTTGCCTAATAAATATGGAGGGCTGTGTAAAGCTCAGGGCCCTTGTCCACTAGAGGCAAGGTGTCCCCTGACCCTTCTTCCAAACATACTCTTTTGTCTCTTGTCTTTATTCCCGCATTCATCCCCCTTTGTTCAGTCCACCATGGATCCTGGCAGACTACAAGTGGCGCCTCGAACAGCGACAGAATTAGGTGCTCTACAGGATTACAGGCATGAGCCACCACTATGGGCCCCAATCCTGAAGTTTATGATTCAGCAGATCAGCCTGGGGCCTAAGAATGAGCATTTCTAACAAGTTCCTGGGTGAGGCTGATGCCACTGGCCTGTGAGCACGATTTGAGAATCACTGTTTTATAGCAGATTCTCAAACTTGGCTGCCTACTGGAATCACCTGAGATGTTTAAAAGAATACTCATTCCTAGGTTCCAACATCAGAAATGATCATTTAACTGGTATGGAGTGCTTGGCTTGGGATTCCTTTAAATAGCTTTATTGGCTATATTTGACACACAAACTGCATATATTTAGAATACAATTAAATTTTAATATATGTGTACACCCATAAACCATCACCACAATAATAATAATATATCCATCATTTCCAAAGTTGCCTCTTCTACCCTGGCCTCCTGCTCCTCCCTCTCTCCTGAACACCTCCCAGATCCCAAGGTAACAATCTGCTTTTGGTCACGATGGATAGCCTGCATTTTCTAGAATTTTATATAAATGAAATCATATATACCCTTTTTCCTTTTTGGTTTCACTTCTTCCCTTTAGCATGATTTTTTGTTTGTTTGTTTGTTTTTGAGACACAGTTTCACTCTTTTTGCCCCGGCTGGAGTGCAGTGGTGCAATATTGGCTCACTGCAGCCTCTGCCTCCTGAGTTCAAGTGATTCTCCTGCCTCAGCCTCCCAAGTAGCTGGGATCACAGGCGCCCGCCATCACGCCCGGCTAATTTTTGTATTTTTAGTAGAGACGGGGTTTTGCCATGTTGGCCAGGCTGTTCTCGAACTCCTGATCTCAGGTGATCCATCTGCCTCGGCCTCCCAAAGTGTTGGGATTACAGGCGTGAGCCACCGCATCCAGCCTTAGCATGATTATTTTGAGATTCATCTACCTTGTTGAATATATTAATAATTTATTCTTTTTTAAAAATATGGTTTAATCTTTATATTTTGTATGGCTTTTCTCATAAAGTGGATATATTGTATTTTTTAAAGGTTAGCCATATAGCATAAGTATATACCAAGTACTCCTTATTTCTAGTCTCTTTGTTTCTTTCCCAATCTCCTCTTCTCCTCTCAACATGTTTCAATTTGACTATAATTCTTTTTTTTTTTTTTTTTTTTTTTTTTTGGAGATGGAGTCTCACTATTTGCCCAGGCTGGCCTCAAACCCTTGGGCTCAAGTGATCCTCTCACTTTGGCCTCCCAAGTAGCTGGGACAATAGGCACAAGCCACTGCACATAGCTTCTTTGAAATAATTTTAGACTCACATAGAAGTTGCAAAAATAATACAAAAAGTTCCCCTTGTATCCTTCACTTTTCCCCCATGATTATGTAAGTGTAAATAAAAATCTAAAAACAATTAAAAATTGAATTTTCCTAGAAAAGAAAGAATCCCCCAGTCTGTCTTCAGAGCGTTTACTTTAGAAAACTTGTAATTGTGAATTCCTTCTCTGCCCTTTGAAGATGTATTTACATCTTCTTTTATGAGGCTCGCTCTTTCGCCAGCCTAGAGTGCAATGGCACAATCTCGGCTCACTGCAACCTCCGACTCCCTGGTTCAAGCTATTCTCCTGTCTCAGCCTCCCAAGTAGCTGAGATTACAGGCACGGGCCACCATGCCCAGCTAATTTTTGTATTTTTAGTAGAGACGGGGTTTCACCATGTTGGCCAGGATGGTCTCAATCTCCTGAGCTCGTGATCCGCCTGCCTCCACCTCCCAAAGTGCTGGGATTACAGGTGTGAGCCACCATGCCCGGCCTACATCTTTTTTTAAATAAGCTTAATAACCCATGAGAAAGGTGTTAGTTTAAAAAAAAAAAGATAAATAAATCTCTTGTCAGTTTTTTTTTTCCCCAACCCCATAATCTTATCCTTAAGGACCTGGAAGCCTTCTCTTTGAAATGAAATCATCGAGGGAAATAGCATTCCTATTTCCTAGTCCTATGGAAGGGTAGGAACCTAACTTCAGCTGGCACCTGTTAAGTTACAAACCTACCATAAAGACATAAGAAATTTAATTTTCCTTTGGATAAAGACAATTAACAAACACAGGTGACTACTCCGATTCGCAGGTGACAGGTGGTGCTGTGAAGTCATCTTATTTGAGGACTAGTTGTTTATCTTGAAAACATGTATGACATGGGTTGCATCTGCCTGGTTATATAAAGGGGTGAGTGTTTTTTATTTTTTTGAGACAGAGTCTCACTCCGTCACCCAAGCTGGAGTGCAGTAGCGCAATCTCGGCTCACTGCAACCTCTGCCTTCCAGGGGTGAGGGTTAGGTTGTCTTTGCAATCTCTTTAGCAGATTGCCTGTAATGCACATCACATTCTGGTTTGATAGGTTTTCAAATACTAAAATTGTTTTTTTCTCTTCTACTTTAATGGAGAGGTTTTTTGTTGTGGCAGGAATTTTTGTCTTAAATTATATTTCCCCAAGAACATCTTATATAATCCTAGTACAATGATGAAAACCAGGAAATTGACATGTGCGCAATACTATTAACTAAAGATTTTATTCAAATTACAGCCAATTCTCAATATCCTCAAGGATTGGTTCCACAACTCTCCTCCTCCACCAAAACCCCAGGATGCTCAAGTCCTTTATATAAAATGGTATGAGCATATGTCTTATGCACGTCCTCCCATGTACTTTAAATTTTCTCTGGATTATTTCTAATAACTAATACAAATGCGAATGCTATGCAAATAGTCATTATACTGCATTTTAAATTTGTATTTTTTTATTGTATTGTTGCGTGGTTTTTTTTTTTTTAAGACAGGGTCTCAACTATTGCCCAGGCTGCAGTACAGTGGTGAGATCGTAGCTCACTATGGCCTCGACCTCCCATGGCTTAGGTGATCCTCCTGCCTCAGCCCCCGAGTAGCTAGAATTACAGGCTCCACCACTCCCAGCTAATTTTTGTATTTTTAATAGAGATGGGTTTTTCGCCATGTTGCCCAGGCTGGTCTCAGACTCCTAGGCTCAAGTGATCCGCCCACCTTGGCCTTCCAAAGTGCTGGGATTATAGGTGTGAGCCACTGCGCCTGGCCTGTATTGTTATTTTTTTATTGTCTCTTCCCACCCAATATTTTCCATCTGTGGTTGGTTGAATTTGCCGATGTGAGATCTGGGGATACAGAAAGCTGGCTACATATCATGCTTACAGGCAGTGCATGTGTATATACAATTCCATGAAATTTTATCCCATGTATAGGTTTATGTAACATCACCACAGTCAGGGTACAGAGCTGTTCCATCACCCCGAAAGTCACTCTCATGCTGTCAATTATAGTCATTCCCTCCTCCAGCTCTAACCCTTGACAACCACTTATCTGTTCTCCACTACAACTTTTTTTTTTTTTTTTTGGTCACCTAGGCTGGAGTGCACAGCTCATGGCAGCCTTGACCTCCCATGCTCAAGCAATCCTCCCATCTCAGCCTCCCAAGCAGCTGGGACCACAGGTGCATGCCACCACGCTCAGCTGTTTTTTTGAAAAAAGTTTCTGTAGAGACTGGGTTTTGCTATGTTGCCCAGGTTAGTCTCCAACTCCTGGGCTCAGGCGATCCCCCACCCCTGCCTTGGCCTCCCAGAGCGCTGAGATTACAGGCATGAGCCACCATGCTGGGCCCACAACTTTTCATTTCATTAAAATGGGATCATACAGTATGTAACTGTGCAATAAAGGGTTAATTCAGCAGGTTTGGGTTGTACACATTCCAAAGAAGGAACTGACACTTGACCAGTTCCTTAACCTATAAGCCCTTGAAATAAATGTCCTGCCTTTTAAGAGTTTTTGTATACCTGGGGCCTTCAGCCATGACAGATAGTTTATGCTAATTTTATGCTGATTTAAAACTGTATCCTTTCACTGTAATAAGCCATAACTGAACATAGCTTTTCTGAGTTCTGTGAGTCTTTCTAGTTAATCATTAAGCTTAAAAGTGGTCTTGGATAACCTTTAGAGATTGTGCTTTACATAAAATCTAACTTTTTTTGTTTTTGTTTTTGTTTTTTAAGAGTTGGGGCCTCGTTCTGTTGCCCAGGCTGGAGTGCAGTGGTGCAATCATAGCTCACTGCAGCCTTGACTTCCTAGGCTCAAGTGATCCTCCCACCTTGGCTTCCGAAGTAGCTGGAACTACAGGTACGCGCCACTATACCAGGCTAATTTTTTAAGAGTGGGGCCTTGCTGTGTTGCCCAGGCTGGTCTTGAACTCCTGGGCTGAAGGGCCTCAGCCTCCCAAGTAGCTGGGATTGTAGGTGTGAGCTACCGTGCCCTACATCATTTTTATTGCAGGCAGTATTGTGTCATATGGATTTACCATAATTTGCTTATTCATTCATCTGTTAATGGACATTTGGGTTGTTTAGAGATTTTGTGTATTACAAATAAAGCTGTTATAAATATTTTTGTTCAAGTTTTTGTATGCACACGTAATTTTATTTACCTTGAGTAGATTCTTATAATAGTGAAAAGTAAAAAAGCCTTTATCACAGCTTGGAGTCTATTATCTTCTGTAGATGCAGGGCAGTTTGGCCGAGAATCAAGCCAGGATTTGACAAGAAGGGAGTTGAAGGGTCAATGAAAGGTACAGTATGATATAAGGACACTACACAGGAAGGAATGGAAAGCTGAGAAATAGGATGGACACATTTGGGCAGATGTGGTCAAGACCCAGACTCTCAAATGCCCAAATCCCCTTGAGCTTTTCTCAGAGTGGAGGCAACCTACCCTCATATCCACTCCCCATTCCTGACCAGCCTTTCCCTGTGTAAAAGGCACTTAGTCGCTTCATCTGGGGCAGTTGCCTTATGAGCTGATGCTAGTTCTTGTAAGGGACTGATCCTACCCTGCCTCCTTGCCTCTGGATCTTAACAGAAGTTAGTTATTCCAGTGCAAACCAAAAAGTACTGAACGTGGCCCAGAAAGAGATAGTTTCTTGCCAGTGTGTATTGGCAAGAGTTAGGGAATATGGAAATGGATTGTTACGCCAAGGAAAACAAATATAAGGTTGGATTGGGATAAATGTATAAACATGAGTGCATGTGCTGGCATGTCAGTCATGTTTTCCAAAGATAGTCACACAATGTCTCTCATCTTTTCTGCCAGTGGCCTTGACACTCCTTCCATTGAGTGGTGGGGTCTATGTCCCCTCCCCTTGAATCCAATAGAGTACAACCAAAGTAATACCATGTGATATCCCAGGTAAGGTCATTAAGTTTCTACAGAAGAGACTTGATAGCAAAGGAGAGCCTGCCAGGTCTAACTGCTCATCCTGACCTCCCAGCTTCTTGCCTGGCCTTTAAATAACCCTCCCTTAGGTGTCCTGGAATGTCTCCTTGCTCTGATTCCAGAGCAGTTATTTTTTATGTATTCATTCAACAAATTTAGCGTCTGTAATATGCCCAGCATAGGCCATAAATGATGACACTGACAAGACCCCAAGTTGGAGAAACTAAATGAGCCCTAACAACAAGTGCTGACCCGAGCCACAATAGAGGCCTGTTGAAGGGAGAAAGAGGTAATGAGGTGGGGTCAGGGAGGGCTTCTGGAGTAGGAGATTCCTGAGCCAAGTCCTAAAGGATGTGTATGGGCTCACCAGGTGGAGAAGATGGAACGGACAAGTCTGGTCGTGGAAAGATGCCCTGGGCAGAGGGAACGGTGCGGATAAAGGAAGGAGAGCAAGTGGAAGATGGCAGCCAATGGGAATGAGCAATGCATGGGAAGGAACTGAGGGTGAGATGAAAGGCAGCGCACCAGGCTGCAGAGATCAGCCCTGGCGGTTACATTTTTCAATTAATTCTCTTATTTTTATTATATAAAACATTATTTTGGCCAGGCGCGGTGGCTCACGCCTGTAATCCCAGCACTTTGGGAGGCCGAGGTGGGTGGATCACGAGGTCAGGAGATCGAGACCATCCTGGCTAACACGGTGAAACCCGGTTTCTACTAAAAATATGAAAAATTAGCCAGGTGTGGTGGCGGGCACCTGTAGTCCCAGCTACTCGGGAGGCTGAGGCAGGAGAATGGCATGAACCCGGGAGGCGGAGCTTGCAGTGAGCCGAGATCGTGCCACTGCACTCCAGCCTGGGCGACAGAGCGAGACTCCCTCTCAGAAAAATAAATAAATAAATAAATAAAATAAAAACATTATTTTACTTTATTTTTATTTTATTTTTATTGTTTTTTTTAGAGACAGGGTCTAGCTCTTGTCACTCAGGCTGAAGTGCTTGGCAAGATCATGGCCCACTGCAGCCTCAAACTCCTGGACTCAAGTGATTCTCTCACCTCACCCTCCAAGTAGCTAGGACTACAAGCACATGCCACTGTGCATGGCTATTTTTATTTTTCAGAGACATGGGCTCACTATGTTGCCTAGGCTAGTTTCAAGTTCCTGGCCTCAATAAAACATTATTTTAAAAAATCAGAGATGGCAAAGATTATGTTCCTTGTAATCTCAATAGTGGGGTAGAGAGACACTGGACACTAACAGATGCTAGGTGACTGCTTTTGGCCTTCTGTGCATTTGCACTTCACCTTTTGCATTTTTCTACTTAGCTGTTCTGGGAACATTATACATTTCCAAAGAGCTTCTTGTAACAAAAGTTACAAGAAATAAGAAACATGTATGACTTTTTTTTTTTTTTTTTTTGAGACAGAGTCTTGCTCTGTCACCCAGGCTGGAGTGCAGTGGTGCCATGTCGGCTCACTGCAGACTCTGCCTCTCGGGTTCCAGCGATTCTCCTGCCTCAGCCTCCCAGGTAGCTGGGATTACAGGCACGTGATACTATGCCTGGCTAATTTTTGTATTCTTAGTAGAGATGAGGTTCCACCATGTTGGCCAGGCTGCTCTCAAACTTCTGACCTCAGATAATCCACCTGCCTTGGCCTTCCAAAGTGCTAGGATGATAGGCATGAGCCACTGCACCCGGCCAAAACAGGTATGACTTTTAAAGAAAGCAAGGAATCATATCCTATTGTGTCTTTTCTGTCTTCGGGTGGTGATTTTAAGTACTTTGCATCATTGAAGAACTATTTAGAGAAAAATAAAGTGTGGCAATTAAAATATCAAACCCTCTCTTCTGATACCCTGATACATATGAAAAGTCAGTTTTTACTGGCCTTTTTTTCTGTTGACCATGGGAGGCAAGCACAGTGTAAATCATACCTTTGCAGTTTAGCTCATGCTCTCCTCCATTTGCACAAAGCCTGGCCATGTTCATTGCTCAGTCCACTCTCAACGCTTCTGCAAGGCTCAGCTGCAACCCTTTCCCAATTGCATTCTGTTCCTTTAATGTCTGTCCTACACAGTTCAGTAAGAAATCATGTGGCCATTTGTATTATTTTCTTATAAGTACCTTGAAGTCTGAACCTAAGTTTACCTCCAGGTGTAGACGCACCCTTTCTCTACCCCATCCTCCCCCTTTACTCTGCCCCACTAAGCAACCAATGGAGTAGAAGTAGTAAGTGCTCAATAAATATGTGAATGAAAAACCTTAAGTTCAAGGCATTTTGTATAGAATGTTTTAATTTTTATGGGTATATTTGGAGTCCTTTATTTAAGACCACAGTGCTGATGTCCACAATCTGTCACTACATAGTGCCTGGTGTGGTGGCTCATGTCTGTAATCCCAGCACTTTGGGAGGCTGTGGCGGGCAGATCGCTTGAGTCCAGGAGTTCAAGACCAGCATAGCCAACATGGTGAAACCCCTACAAAAATAAAAAATTAGCCGGGCTTGGTGGCACAAACCTGTAGTCTCAGCTACTGGAAAGGCTGAGGTGGGAGGTCAAGGATTCAGCGAGCTGTGATCGTGCCACTGCATTGCAGCCTGGGCGACAGAGTGAGGCCCTGTCTCAAAAAATGAAATAAAGTAAAAAATAAAAATAACTACATAGCGAAAATAATCAGAAGAATGTTTAAGGTCTCCAGTGAAAGGACAACAGGCTTGTTGTGCTGTTCGCAAGCACGTGTTAGATGCGATTCACTCATGTTGTTGGTGTGTCACTGGGGGTTGTGACTGCAAGTTGTCCAGGTTCTTGGCATTGTGAACAAAGAATTGGACAAAACGCCCAGCAAAGCAAAGAAAGAACAAGGCAACGAAAGAACGAAAGCAGGGATTTACCGAAAACGAAAGTGCACTCCACAATGTGGGAGCGGACCGAGCAGAGCTCAAGGGCCCGGATATAGAATCTTCTTGGGTCCAAATACCCACTAGAAGTTTCCTATTGGCCATTTTATGCTCACCTCAAACCCGATTGGTTGCAAGAAGCAAGCAGTCAGAGGCTAGGGTGAAATTACAAAGTTATACTTCTATGCAAACGAAGACTGGACCCCCAATCAGTCTGATTGGTTGTGGACAGCAACCATTCAGAGGCTGGAGTTAAGGTTCAAACTTGGCAAAGCAAGCCTCCACCAGCAGTAAGTCTGATTTGTCGGGGACAGCCAATTTCCTATCTGCCCTGCGGAAAAGGTGGGGGGGTTTGCAAAGGGAGTAGCCTTTGGTCCTTTTGTTACTTAGGCATGGAAAGTTAGGGTTTTCCTTTCAGTTTAGCTCTAGGAAGTCAGCGTGAGACAGCCTTAGGTTCCCTGCTTCCAGACTTATTCTCCTGCCTTAGGTACAGTCACTATCGTGATATTATCTATCGCTGTGTCAACACAACACCAATCCAAGCCCAACCGCAGCTCTCTCACTGCCGCACCGCTTCGTGAGGGTCGATCCGCCGGGGAGACCTGCTCTCCTGCGCTCGGGACTAGACGCGACCTCGCGGGGCTGAGGCTCTGTCCCTTATTGGCTGGGTCAGGGGGCGTGGCGCGGCTTGACCAATCGCGGGCGGCGCGCTTAGGCACGTGTGTGGACAGGCCTGAGAATCAGAGAAACCTTCTCTGGGGCTGCAAGGACCTGAGCTCAGCTTCCGCCCCAGCCAGGGAAGCGGCAGGGGAAAGCACCGGCTCCAGGCCAGCGTGGGCCGCTCTCTCGCTCGGTGCCCGCCGCCATGTGGGCCGTCCTGAGGTTAGCCCTGCGGCCGTGTGCCCGCGCCTCTCCCGCCGGGCCGCGCGCCTATCACGGGGACTCGGTGGCCTCGCTGGGCACCCAGCCGGACTTGGGCTCTGCCCTCTACCAGGTAGGCTGAGCGCCCCGGTGGCCTGGCCGCCGGTGCCAGGCTAGGAAGCAAGTGGAGGAGGGGCACGCTTCAACAACTGCTGCTCTCTTGTCCGGAGCCCCAGTTGATTCTGTGACGCACGTGAAGTTTGAAGAAGAAAAGCCTAACAGATACAAGAAAGTTTAGTTCACTTTTAGAGCTGGCACTGTACTTTGTGTCTTTGAAATCAGTGGTTCTTAAAGCCTGGTTTAGAATTGCCACCTGGGGAGCTAGCTGAATAGCTGCCTGAGCCCTACTCTGGACCTTGTGGGTCTCAGGTGGAGTCGCTGTGTTTATATTGTTAGTGAACTCATTAGGGGACTTTTGGCAGCCAGCTTTGGGAACCACTGGCCTAGAGCAGCCCAACGAGGGGCGCTGTGCTTAGGAAATTTGAGTTTAAAAGTTGATTATGATGGCCGAGCCCAGTGGCTCACGCCTGTAATCCCAGCGCTTTGGGAGGCCCTGGCGGGTGGATTACCTGAGATCAGGAGTTCGAGAACAGCCTGGCCAACGTGGTGAAACCCCATCTCTACTAAGAATACAAAAATTAGCCGGGCATGGTGGCGCGCGCCTGTAATCCCAGCTACCTGGGAGGCTGAGGCAGGGGAATCGCTTGAACTTGGGAGGCGGAGGTTGCAGTGAGCTGAGATCGTGCCATTGCACTCCAGCCTTGGCAACAAGAGCGAACTCTGTCTCAAAAAAAAAAAAAAAAAAAAGTTGGTTATGTTAATAGAAAATATCCCACAGTATCTTTGAGTGGCTTTTCTTGGAATTAGGAGGCATCATAAGGCCAAAAAACTCAAAACTTGCGAAATATCAGAGCTGGAAAATTTCACTGTGTTCCCACGATTTCTAAGCCTATACAGATAACATCTAAATAGTGCAAACAACACACAATTGTTTGTCAGTCCAGAATGTTTAATTCAGAATTATTAAGTGGTTATTGTGGTCTAGGCACTATTTTAGATATTTGGCATGGATGCGTAGGAATGGAACTAATAATTTTGTAGGGAAGATGGACAAGAAAGCAGGTAACTGTGGTACAGTGTAAGAAGGGTTGTCTAAAGCTTGAGAAGGTGGTTACAGAAAGCTACCGATAGGAAGTAATGGGTGAGATGAATCTTGGGTAAGAGCTGGCCAAGTTCAGGGTGCAGGATGGAAGGTAAGACTGTATAAACCAAGAGAGTTACAAGAACATAGGTACTGAGTTATGAAAGTGTATATCTGGTGTGAGGACTTGAATTCCATGTCTAGGACATGGAATTCATTGAATAGTGTCTGGTGATGGGATTGATTGATTATGGGGCCAGATAGAGGAGGATCTTCCATGCAAAAGCCACATTTAGATTCCATTTGGCAGGTTGTCCATTAAAATATTTAAGTAGATAAGTGGCATGATCCTATGGATATGGTAGAATCATCAGTGTGGTGGCAATGTGGAGGATGGATTGATATAGGGAAAAGACTAGACCTAGGTGACAGTGGAGAGTTGAGTCTTGAGATGAAGGAGTCAAAGTTAGAGTTGTATGTAGGAGGGGGGCATAAATACCTGAGGAGCAAAGATTATAGAGTTAATAACTGAGTGGAAGGGGAAAATGGATGACTTTGGAGTTTCCAACTGGGCAGAATATTTAGTTAGGTGGAACTGCCATTAATACAAAGAAGGCTTTGGTGATGGGTTTTGTATGAATCACCTTTTGCTAGGTTGCGCTTTGTGTAACAAATAATCAAAAAATCTCAGTAACTCACAACAGTAAATATTAGTCTCTCACTTGATTTTGTTTTGTTTCTTAATCTCTCACTCGTGTTGGTGGCCTTTGGTTAGCTGCTGCTGTGACTGTTCCACTGCAGGGTAGGTTCAGGTCTGCTCCATGTGTCTTCCCATTCCTGGACTGAGGCTGAAGAGCAGCCCTGAATTAAACATGCCCTTCTCATGGCCGAAGGCACAGGAGCAAGAGGCTGAACACAAATTGGATTTAAAATCCTTGCTGGCATGTGATGAAATTAATGTGTGCTCACATTAGACAAAGCAAGTCCATGAGGGTGGGGGAGAATGGGATGAATGATCCAGTTTAGCTGTGTTTCCTGATTACAAATAAAAGCAACTATAATAAGTAATAATAATGGCAGGAATTTTATAGTGTACCCACCATTTTTCTAAAGGCTTTATGTGGTTTTACTCATGTATTTATCATAATGATCCTGTGCAGTAGGTACAATTGTTATTTCTGTTTTATAGATGGGAAAACTGTGGTATATAGGGTCCAAGAAATTTGTCTGAGATAACACAGAGCCTGAATTTGAAGCCAGGTGGTCTGGCTCATAACTCTTGAGTCCAGGGTCTTAACTGTTGCTCTATAATGCTTCTCACTCACCCAGCTCTACCTAGGTGGGTTCTATGGTTGAAAAGATGGGGTGGGAAACTTGTCAGTGGCTCAGCTCCAATTCATTATGACTGTCAGGCACTAACCTCTGTGGTTGCTCAGCTTCACAAGAAAATTACTAGGTTGTAGAATGTTGTTTCGCAGGTGATTAAAACACACACACACACACACACAAACACAAACACCTGGCGTCCTGAGAGATCAAGATTTGCCAAATGCAGTATCAGTAAGTAGGGAAACTGAAAGTTGAACTTGGTTTTGCCACTAAACTACACTGCCTCTTGGTTAGTGAGTCTCATCCTAAGGAGGCTAGGTTGGTTGATAAAGGATTGCCTGGGAGGTGAACTGTAGCCAGTACTGGCTCTTCTGTGATTTAAGTCTGATGGGCTGAGCTTGGCACAGATGTTGCCCAGTCTGTAGAGGCAAATGTCAGCTTCAGTGGGTCAGTGCTTTTCTTCTTTGACCCACTGGTTGCTTAAAAGTACGTTGTTTAATTTCCATATATTTGTGAATTTTCCAGTCATCCTTCTGCCATTGATTTCTAGTTTCATTCCATTGTGATTGAAAGGATACTTTTGGGCCAGGCATGGTGGCTCAGGCCTGTAATCCTAGCGCTTTGGGAGGCCGAGGCTGGTGGATCACCTGAGGTCAGGAGTTCTAGACCAGCCTGGCCAACATGGTGAAACCCTGTCTCCACTAAAAATAAAAAAATTACCTGGGCATGGTGGCGCACGCCTGTAATCCCAGCTACTTGGGAGTGTGAGGCAGGAGAGTCGCTTGAACCCGGGAGGCGGAGGTTGCAGTGAGCTGAGACTGTGCTACTGCACTCCAGCCTGGGCGACACGGCCAGACTCCGTCTCAAAAAAAAAAAAAAGGATACTTTGTATGATTTCAGTCTTTTAAAATTTATTAAGATTTGTTTTGTGGCCTGACATGTAGTCTATCTTGGAGAATGTTGCCTGTGCACTTGAGAAAAGTTACATACTTTTTTCTGCTGTTGTAGGGTGACAAGTTCTGTATATTGTGTTAGCTCCAACTGGTTCTTTCCCTAATACCATGCTGCTTCCTTGTTTTTTATTTTCTGGATTTTGCAGAGCAAGAGAATGTAGCAGAAATCATGACCCTCAGAGCTCTTGGAGCTGTAGAAAATAGGAAATAATGGAGATATACTGTAGACTGAATATTCATCTAAGTTTGAACAGTTAGGAAGTTGCTTAGTGTTCTGTCAAACAGAAGGAACTAAATAACTAGAGATGCTAATCACATGGGGAGCAAAATGTATTAGTGGGCCAAGTCTGAATTTCAAAGATAATTAGCTAGTTAAGTATTGTTCTAAAGTAATATGCTGACCAAACAAAATTTAAAAATACAGAAGGGTGAAAAGTTAGTCCCTCTACCTCTTTTCTACTTCTCACTGTCAATATTTCCTTGTGTATTACTTAATTTGTGTATATATGCCAGCATAGAGTTTTGTTCTGTTTTTTTTTTTTTTTTTTTGAGATGGAGTTTTGCTCTTGTTGCCCAGGCTGGAGTGCAATGATGCAATCTTGGCTCACTGCAACCTCCGCCTCCCGGGTTCGAGGGATTCTCCTGCCTCAGCCTCCCGAGTAGCTGGGATTACAGGCAAGCACCACCTTGCCTGGCTAATTTTGTATTTTTTAGTAGAGACGAGTTTTCTCCATGTTGGTCAGGCTGGTCTCGAACTCCCGACCGTAGGTGATCTGCCCGCCTCGGCCTCCCAAAGTGCTGAGATTACAGGCGTGAGCCACCACGGCTGGCCGAGTTTTGTTCTTTTTACTAATTTATTTATTTATTTGAAACAGTCTTGCTCTGTCACCCAGGCTGGAGTACAATGGCACGATCCTAGTTCACTGCAGCTTCAAACTCCTGGGCTCAAGAGATCCTTCCACCTTAGTTGGTCAAGTCGCTGGGACACACCACCATGCCCAGATAATTTTTAAATTTTTATTCTTTTTATTTTTATTCTTTTTGTAAAGATGGAAGTCTCCCTATGTTACTCAGGCTGGTCTCAAACTCCTGGGCTTAAGCGATGCTCCTGCCTCCGCCTTCCAAAGCTCTGGGATAACAGACATAAGCCACCACACTCAGCCTGTTCTTTTTAAAACATAAAATAGGATCCTTGGCCAGGTGCGGTGGCTCATGCCTGTAATCCCAGCACTTTGGGAGGCCGAGATGGGCAAATCACTTGAGGTAAGGAGTTTGAGATCAGCCTGGCCAACATGGCGAAACCCGGTCTCTATTAAAAATACAATAATTAGCTGGGCATGGTGGCACACACCTGTAGTCCCAGCTACTTAGGAGGCTGAGGCAGGAGAATCGCTTGATCTCGGGAGGCGGAGGTTGCAGTGAGCCGAGATTGCACCATTGCACTCCAGCCGGGGCAACAAAGGGAGACTCTGTCCCAAAAAATAAAAATACAAAATTAAAAATAAAAATAAGATCCTTTTTCTCCCTCTGGGATTTGTTTTTAAGTGTACTTTGTCAGTAAGCAAGCATTGGTTGGAATCTCAGATAGTGACTGATGGGACAGGAAAAATAAGATGGTATTCTAACCTTCAAAAAGCTTATATTCCTTAAAATAGGAAAACAAATAGAGATCAGTTTAAGTTCAGAAGGTGTTTAAGGAAGAAAGATGTTAAATTGAGTAGGAGTGGCCAGAAGTAGAGTTGAAGATGAGATAAAACATGAATTAGGCTTACAGAGGAGTAAGATATGGAGAGATGGACAAGTGGGGTGGTGAAGAAGAGCTTGAACAAGACAGGCAGGGGTGAATCTTTTCCATACGATCCAGTGGCCCAGCGTGGCTGCCACAGATGGGGTGGCCCAGTGTGGCGGCCACACAGAGTTGGCACAGACCACTGTTTTTTTTTTTTTTTTGACCTTTATTTTGGTAAAAAGGAATTGCTTTCTAATATTTCTCTCCCCTGTCTCCTCTATTTCTGTTTTAGGAGAACTACAAGCAGATGAAAGCACTAGTAAATCAGCTCCATGAACGAGTGGAGCATATAAAACTAGGTAAACACAGCATTTATTCCACAGCTTATGCCTTTACTTAAGATGTCCTAAAATAGTTATTGCTTTTAGGAAAAATACTGGAATTAAGCTTTTGATATTTTTTTTTTTTTTTTGAGATGGAGTCTTGCTCTCTTGCCCAGGCTGGAGTGCAGTGGCGCCATCTCAGCTCACTGCAACCTCCGCCTCCTGGGTTCAAGCCATTCTCCTGCCTCAGCCTCCCAAGTTGTTGGGATTACAGGTGCCTGCCTCCATGCCTGTCTAATTTTTGTATTTTTTAAATAGAGACAAGGTTTCACCATGTTGGCCAGGCTGGTCTTGAACTACTGATGTCAAGTGATCCATCTGCCTTGGCCTCCCAAAGTGCTGCAATTATAGGCGTGAGCCACTACTCCTGGCTGAGCTTTTGACTCTTAAGACTATGCATTTGTTGGTATGCAGGCATTTAATTTTATTTTTCCTATTACTTGGCCAGTTTTTCTCTTCATAGAGTACTACCACTTTTGGGGGGAAAAGTAAAGATTCAAATTCATAAATTTTATGAATAAATAATTTATTTTTAATTTTTATTAATTTTTTTTTTAAGAGATGGGTTCTTGCTCTATTGCCAGGCTGGACTGAACCCCTGGCTCAAGCGATCCTCTCATCTTGGCCTCCCAAAGTGCTGGGATTACAGGTATGAGCCACCACACCTGGCCAGTGATTTCTTAGTAGGCATTTAATATTTCCTCCCTAAGTGCTGAATCTCAGATGGAAAGCATTCTTCATATTTGATAGACTGTTTCAGATAACTTTTATCAACAAGTATATAATACTTAAAATTGTATATAATACTTTTAATGTAAAATTTTACATTTAGGTTAGAGTAGTTTAAATACTGGATCTCAGGAGTATAAAAATAGTGAAGAAGACTGGATTTGGAAAGTATGGTCTAGAATTGCTTATTTACTAGTTTATTTAGAGACAGGGTCTCCTCACTCTGTTGCTCGGGCTGGACTCGAAGTCGGGAGCTCAAGTGATCTTCTTGCCTCAGCCTCCCAAGTAGCTGAGACTGTACCTGTGCCCCTGTACGCAGCTATGGAATTCATACTTTTGAAGCCATTTTAGATCAAGGTGTTGTCTCCAGAAAAAGAATTCAAACTCTTGCTGAAATGAAAGTGTTTTGTTAGGGGTGATAACTCAATTGTTATGCCCATTTTGAGAGTTTGATTTGGTGAACTCACTGTCCCCCTTAGACATTAAGATGGTGGGTTTTGGGGCCAGGCACAGTGGCTCACGCCTGTAATCCCAGCACTTTGGGAGGCCGAGGTGGGCGGATCACATGAAGTCAGGAGTTCGAGACCAGACTGAGCAACATGGTGAAACCCTGTCTCTACTAAAAATACAAAATTAGCTGGGTGTGGTGGCGCATGCTTGTAATCCCACCTACTCGGGAGGCTGAGGCAGGAGAATTGTTTGAACCTGGGAGGCGGAGGTTGCAGTGAGCCAAGATGGTGCCATTGCACTCTAGCCTGGGTAACAGAGCGAAATTCCGTCTCAAAAAAAAAAAAAAAAGAGGTGGGTTTGACTCAATGGAGGGTTGAGGAGTCCTGTGGCATCAGGTGCCTGCTGGGGATGGTGGATGCTGAGGAACCGTGGTGCAGGCTGGTGGCCACAGGAGGGTAGAGGACTGAGCCGGACTCCCTGGGGAAGGAGGTAGGGAGAAGGGGGAAAGGACAAACTTGGCTGTCACAGCTTTGCCAAGAATTAAATGTCAGGGGAGCTTAATTATGTGCTCTGTGAGCCTGCATCAAGGATAACCCTCTTTCTGGTTCTTCCTAATAAAACCAGAATTCACCAGCTGCTCCAAATTGTAAGGCCCCACTCTAGACAGAATTGCTAAAGAGTGATGTTGTCTTAAGTCTCTCTCTTTTTTTTTTTTTTTACTGAGACGGAGTCTTGCTCTGTCACTCAGGCTGGGGTGTAGTGGCGCGATCTCAGTTCACTACAACCTTGGCCCCCCGGGTTCAAGCGATTCTCCCGCCTCAGCCTCCCGAATAGCTGGGACTACAGGCATGCACCACCACACCCAGCTAATTTTTCATATTTTTAGTAGAGATGGGGTTTCACCATGTTGTCCAGGCTGGTCTCAAACTCCTGGCCTCAAGTGATCCACCCACCTCAGCCTCCCAAAGTGCTGGGATTACAGGCATGACCCACCTGTCACTTTGGGAGGTCAAGGCAGGAGAATTGCATGAAGCCAGGTGTTTGAAACCAGCCTGGGCAACAGAGTGAGACCTCATCACAAAAATTTAGCTGGAGTGGTGGCACATGCCTGTAGTCCCAGCTGCTGGGAAGCCTGAGGTGAGAGGATCACTTGAATTTAGGAGTTCAAGGCTGTAGTGAGCCATGCTGGCACCACTGCACTCCAGCCTGGGTGACAGAGTAAGATCTTGTCTCAAAAAAAAAAAAAAAAAAGGTCCTACTTGGAAGATCGTTTGAGATTATTTTCTTGCCTAAATAAACAAAGAAATAGCTTTCTGAAATAGCTGAACATTTCATTAGACAAAGACTATATTAAGATGAAATTCTTGGACACCAATAAAAATAAACTAATGTTTTAATTATTAAAGGTACAATTTGATACTTCTGTTCTTGCTCCATTACCTTGGTTTGCCGAGAGTGGGTTATAGATATTCCCAAGAATACTCCAGTGGGCTCTTCAGTTATAATTTTCTTTGTCTGTCATGATGTGAGCAATGTTGAGAAGCACTGAAGACAATCTCTGAGTCAAGGAAGGGGACTTTTAAATTGCTAAAGTGTTCAACTCACCCAGTTGCAAGCCTAAAAAGTTACGGATCACTAATGTCATCTTTAGGTAAATTTACTGCACTTATCATGGAAGTAATTTCTAAAATTTTATTTTTACCTGGTACAAATGAAGATAGGAATTTTCCAGATCTATCATAGCATGTATTTAATAAATGTGGTGGAGATGAGGCATTATTTGCAATATGTGAGCTGCAGAGAAAATACTCTGTAATTTATGTAACTACTAGTGAATTCAGAACATAGACTCTAGGATATACTCTAAAATCAGGGATAGATTGATTTTTTTTTAATACCAGTTTTTACATTTACTTCAGAAAATTGGCAACTTGTAAGTTGAGTGAATGATTATTAGCCTTTTCTCAGAGGATATGTTGAACTTTTAAAAAGTGCTATATTTTGGATTAAGTATTATGTTTTTCTGGCATTGAGACCTTTTTATCGTGTCAATCTAATCTAATCTAATCACATTTCTATCATAGGAGGTGGTGAGAAAGCCCGAGCACTTCACATATCAAGAGGAAAACTATTGCCCAGAGAAAGAATTGACAATCTCATAGACCCAGGGTGCGTACATAGCCAAGTACTGACTCAGAGTGTTCTCTGTTCCATAGTACTTTATTAGACAGTCTTGTAAATCAGTTATTTTGAATTCTAGTTCTCATCGTAAGATTCAGGAACATGTGTTTATTGAGAGCCTACTATGTGTCAAGCACTATGTGTTGACATGTTTATTGAGAGCCTACTATTGGTCAGGTACTAGTGATATATCAGTGACCAAAACAGACACAGATCTTTGCTCTACTAGAGTTTACATCATAGCAAAGGGAGACAGAAAGCAACAGTAAAGACTGTAACTTCTGGCTGGGTGTGGTGGCTCACTCCTGTAATCCCAGCACTTTGGGAGGCCGAGGTGGGCGGATCATGAAGTCAGGAGATTGAGACCATCTGGCTAACATGGTGAAAACCCGTCTCTACTAAAAATACAAAAAATTAGCTGGGCATGGTGGCATGTGCTTGTAGTCCCAGCTACTCGGGAGGCTGAGGCAGGAGAGTCGCTCGAACCCCAGAGGCAGAGGTTGCAGTGAGACGAGATTGTGCCACTGCACTCCAGCCTGGGTGACAGAGCGAGACTCTGTCTCAAAAAAAAAAAAGATTGTAAATTCTGTAGTGTGTTAGTAAGTGACAAATGTCATGAGAAAAAGAAAAGGTGGCCCAGGGTAAAGGAGAGGAAGATATAGGGCAAGTTGCAGTTTTAAGAGGTGGTGCCAAGGTAGGCCGCATTGAGAAGGTGATGTCTGAGCAAAGATTTAAAGGAGGAGAGAGAGAGAGAGAGCCTTGTAACTCTCTGGGGAAAGAGTGTTTCAGGCAGAGGGAATGGCCAGTGCAAAGGCCCTGAGGTGGGAGTGTGCCAGGTAATGCTGGTATGCTCAAGGGGCAGCCAGGAGGCTGGGGTGGTTGTGGTGGAGGGAGTGAGGGGAGAGGAGTAGGAGATGGGTCAGATCCTGTATGGCCTTGTGGGTTATCATAAAGGTTTTGGTTTTCACCATGGGAGAAATGGGGAGCTATTGTAGGGTTTTGAACAGGAGATGATTATGATCTGACATAGCTTAAAAGAGTGCTTCTGGCTGCTGTGTTGTGAGTAGATGGAGCAGCAAGGGTGGAAGCCCTGTGACCAGGTAGAGGGCGATTGCAAGGATTTGAGGGAGACATGATGGGGACTCGGCATAGGGTAGTAGTAGTGGTGGTGGCAGGAGTGCAGGGTTCTGGATGTATTGTGAAGACAGAGCCAACCCAACAGGATTTCCTGAAGGATTGGATATGGAGTGTAAGGGGGAGAAGAGGGGTAAGTGAAAACTCCCAAAGTATTTTTTCTCCTGACACGTGCACACACATCCAACCTGGAGACAGCACTGTTAACACCTAGTATATTATCCTTCTAGGCCATTTGTATGCATATATATATACCAGACACCTACATTTTTTAAAAATGCAAATGAAATCGTACTAAATTTGCTGTTTTGTAGCCAGCTCTCTTTTTTCCCTCCTAATGTATCTTGACCATGTAAGTAAGTGAGAGGCGGACTAGTGGTTAAGAGCCTGGCCCCTGGGGCAAGATTGCTTATGAAGCTCCCGGCTCTGCCCCTTACTTACTGTGTAACCTTAGACAAGTGACTTGATCTCTGTGTGTTTCAGTTTCCTCATCAGTAAATGAGGGTCACAATAAGATCCACCTCAGAAGGTGGTTCTAAGGAGGACATGAGTGAGTGTTTCTTTTTTTTTTTTTTTTTTTTGAGACGGAGTCTCACTCTGTCACCAGGCTGGAGTGCAGTGGCGCGATCTCCGTTCACTTAACCTCCGCCTCCTGGGTTCAAGCGATTCTCCTGCCTCAGCCTCCCGAGTAGCTGGATTACAGGTGTGCACCACCATGCCCAGCTAATTTTTGTATTTTTAGTAGAGACGGGGTTTCACCATGTTGCCCAGGATGGTCTCAATCTCTTGACCTCGTGATCTGCCCACCTTGGCCTCCCAAAGTGCCGGGATTACAGGCATGAGCCACCACACCAGCCGATAAGTGAGTGTTTCTAAAGCCTTTAGAAGAGAGCCTGGTATTTGGAAAGGATTTTTATTTTAATTAATTAATTAATTATTTATTTTTTGAGATGGAGTTTTGCCCTGTTGCCCAGGCTGGGGTGCAGTGGCATGATCTCAGCTCACTGAAACCTCTGCCTTCCGGATTCAGGTGATTCTCCTGCCTCAGCCTCCCGAGTAGCTGGGATTACAGGCACGTGCCTCCACGCCTGGCTAATTTTTTTTTTTTTTTTTTTTTGTATTTTTAGTAGAGATGGGGTTTCACCATGTTATCCAGGCTGGTCTCAAACTCCTGACCTCACGTGATCTACCTGTCTCAGCCTCCCAAAGTGCTGAGATTACAGGCATGAGCCACCGTGCCTGGCCATTAGTTGTTTTTTGAGACAGGGTCTCATTCCATTGCCCAGGCTGGAGTGCAGTGGCACAGTCACAGTTCTCTGCAGCCTTGGCCTCCTGGGCTCAAGTGATTCTTCCACCTCAGCCTCCCAAGTAGCTGGGACCACAGGCATGTGCCATCATGCCCAGCTGTGTTGAAAATTTTTTTTTTTTTGTAAAGATGGGGTTTCCCCGTGTTGCTCAGGCTGGCCTCAAACTCCTGGGCTCAAGCAGTCCACCCACTTGAGCCCCACAAAGTGCTAGGACTACAGGCATGAGCCACCCCACCTACCTCCAAAAGTTTTTAAGAGATGGGGTCTTGGCTGGGCGTGGTGGCTCATGCCTGTAATCCCAGCACTTTGTGAGGCCGAGGTGGGCAGATAACCTTCAGGTAAGGAGTTTGAGACCAGCCTGGCCAACATGGTGAAACCCCGTCTCTACTAAAAATACAAAAAATTAGCTGGTTGTGGTGGCGCATGCCTGTAATCCCAGTTACTCGGGAGGCTGAGGCAGGAGAATCGCTTGAACTCAGGAGGTGGAGGTTGCAGTGAGCTGAGATCGCGCCACTGCACTCCAGCCTGGGTGACAGGGCAAGACTCCATCTCAAAAAACAACAACAACAACAAAAAAGAGATGGGGTCTCACTATGTTGTCCTGGCTGGCCTCCAACTCTTGGGCTCAAACAGTCCTCTTGTCTCAGCCTCCTGAATAACTGGGATTACAGACTTGAGCCACCACACCCATTTTAGATTTTTAAAAATAGATTTTATATACAACATGTGTATTTGAAATATTGTCCCATTGAGGAAAAATCTTTTCCTTTTCCATGTGTAACTGTTTAAATGTGTAGTTTTTAATGACATTAATTCAAACAACATCCTTTCTTCGCTTTAGGTCTCCATTTCTGGAATTATCCCAGTTTGCAGGTTACCAGTTATATGACAATGAGGAGGTGCCAGGAGGTGGCATTATTACAGGCATTGGAAGAGTATCAGGGTGAGTATTCTACTTGTGCTTCATAATGTGGGTTGAGAAGAAGACTTTGATGAGGCACAGGCATCCAGCACTCACTTTGCATATTAGCATGCGATTTGTATGCTATTTATATTATGTAGGACTGGCTGGGTGTGGTGGCTCACGCCTGTAATCCCAGCACTTTGGGAGGCTGAGGTGGGTGGATCACCTGAGGTCAGGAGTTTGAGATCAGGCTGGCCAATGTGGTGAAACCCTGTCTCTACTAAAAATAAAAAAATAAGCCGGCATGGTGGCACACGCCTGTAGTCCCAGCTACTTGGGAGGCTGAGGCAGGAGAATCGCTTGAACCTGGGAGGCAGAAGTTGCAGTGAGCTGAGATGGAGCCACTGCACTCCATCCTGGTGACAGAGCAAGACTCCGTCTCAAAAAAAAAACAAAAAGATGTCTTTCCATGGAGACAAGGGCAAGGAAGGAGACCAGTCTTTATCTTTTAACTAGAGATGCTCTAGTACTGGATATTATGGCTGAAAAAAATTCAGTCATTTAATAGGTATAAAGTAGTACTTAATTATAAATTCTTTCTTTTTTCCTTTTTTGTTTTTTTTAGAGATGGTGTCTCGCTCTGTTGCCTAGGCTAATCTCGAACTTCTGGGCTCAAACGATGTTGAATATAGGCTAGCACATCATTATAATTTTTTTTTTTTGAGTTGGGGTCTTACTCTGTTGCCCAGGCTGGAGTGCAGTGACATGATCATAGCTTACTGTAGCCTCAAACTCCTGGCATCAAATGATCTTCCTGCCTTGGCCTCCCAAAGTGCTGGGATCACAAGCATGAGCCATTGCTCTGGCCTTTATTATAATTCAAATTGACCTTTCTTACATAAAAATTGTTGAATGGTTTATATCATCACTACTCTTTCTCTGACAAATGACAGATGAGCTGAATTTGCTCAAATTAAGCAAAAAAGAGGATATATTGATTCTCTTATCTGGTGAGTCTGGGCATGGCTGTATCTGGGAGCTCAAATGGTCTTAGGTATTACTAGGTCCCAGGCTGTTTTCTACTCCTGGCCCTGACTTGCTGTGTGTCAGCTTTGTTTCTAGGCAGCCTCTCTAAATCCAGAGGCAGTGATGGTCATAGGCAGTTCCTGGTTTATATTCTATAAGTTTAGCAGCTGCAGTGGAAGGCAAGATCTGCTTAGGCTTAGAGCCTGTCCCATTGCCGAGCCTCAGTGGGAACTCTGGGTAGAAAGACCTGGTCCCTGTGCCCCCCTTTAAGGCAGGCTCTGGGGTCAGTCCTACTTGAGCCACCTGGATTAAAGATAAGAGGCAGTTTCTGAAAGAAGGTTTAGTTTTGTTGCCAAAATAATAGATGCTGGGTAGGCAAAACCAATAGAAATGCAATCTAGTATTTTTGTGGGCCAATTTGATTTCTCATTCTGTAACAAGTCTGTGACCTTTAATAGACAAGCAGATATGGCTATGTCCCTTGTCCATGGTCACATAACTAACAAGTTGGCAGAGCCAGAATTTCAGTCTAACTTTGTCTGACTTCACAGCCTGGCCTCTTTCCAGTACCAGAGCTTCTTAAACTTTCTAGCGTAGCACCCCCAGTGGTAGGAAGTATGAGCACACACTCTGGAGTGTGAGGTTATGGCCCAGCAACCTATGAGAAGCCTACATTTCCTTTGAAGTCTAGTTCGTTTAATGTTAAATCATTAAAAGTTTGCATTCTACTCTATAAAATGTTCATTGCAGTGCAGAAAAAGGTTTTATATGACCTAGGGAATAAAATTGATGCTCAAAGAAGAGTCCTGTTTGTCTTGTGGCGAGCCCTGCTGGCCACATATCCTAGTATGAGAAGCTCAACACTACCCTGTGCTGGGTGTTCAGTTGCCGTTCTCTATTTTCAGCAGGGATTTAATGACTCACTCTTTAGAGTTGTAGGCAGCATAAAGTGAGGTAACACAAACATCAGAAACATAAAGAAAATTGAATTTTGTAAAGAGCACACTGTTGTCATCTCAGATTTCAAGGGTACCTCTGACCTTAAGGTTTCCTGCCAGTGCTGTACAGTTTCCCCAACCAGCTGTGGTTGTTGGCCGCCCTGCTCTTTGTGACTCATACCCAATAAACTGGTTTTGGTGAGAAAGGGCACTGTTGATGACTCAGGATACCTTTCATGTGTTTTTAGTATATTAAAGTTTGCATTCATTCTGACTTCAGTTAAGATGAACGTTATATTTTAGACTACATTTAGTTTTGTAGAAAACCATGGGGCTGTAATGTTGAAGAACAAGAATACAAAAAATAAATCTTAGTACTAAAGGTCAGTTTTCATTTTTGCAAAATACCCTCCTAAAAGGAGACTTTGAAGGTTTATTATGAGGGAATTCTTTTCCCTTGAGACTTGGATTTTTTTTTTCATTATTATTTTCATCTTATTAGGACCTTTTCATTCAAAGAACCATTATGACACAAGGCTTAGGTTGTTAGTTTTTTATTACTAATCTAGGACTGATGACTTTTCAAAAACCAAGTGTGAGTTTATAAACTTGTTAGAAGTAATTGTTTTGTATTATATAAATTAATATGTGAACTGTGATTAAAGTTTGCATTTATATCCTAAGACTGCTGTCTGCTAATGGATGTTAATAGTGATACGTACTAGAAGTTGAAGGTTGTATTGGGGTATCTTGTAATGAGTGTAATTAGTTTTGAAGAAATCTCTTAAATTCTCTCTCCAATGAAATTTCTGCCTTTCAGAGTAGAATGCATGATTATTGCCAATGATGCCACCGTCAAAGGAGGTGCCTACTACCCAGTGACTGTGAAAAAACAATTACGGGCCCAAGAAATTGCCATGCAAAACAGGCTCCCCTGCATCTACTTAGGCAAGTCACCAGAGTGGTAAAATAAACTATTATTAGCTGGTAAAATGCAAGATAGTTTGGAAGGCTGTATGTATTACATTTGGGATGGGTATTTTATAAACCTGTTGATTTCTCCTGTAATTATAAAGGAAACACAGGTTCTTTGCTGAAAACTCTGGGGGAAAGTAAACAAGAACTGTTCATAGTACTAGTGCATAATACTCATACATTTTGACGCATGCCAGTTTTTTTCTCTATGTGTTGTGTGGTTTTTTTTTTTTGTTCTCTAGATCCTGTTTTTCTTTTAACTTTATGGATCATACTATGAAAAAAATAGTAGCAAGTATTTATAGATCTCTTGAGTGCCAGGTACTGAGTTAAATGTGCAAGTATTATATAATTTGAGCAGATGTAATTTAAAGTAAATTTAATTTCCAGTGAAAGTAAACTTATATTTGAAATTAAAACACATTTAAATCAAAGAACCTGAAAGCAAAGCAGTTTAAAATGGGCCTTTCCTCCGGGCGCGGTGGCTCACGCCTGTAATCCCAGCACTTTGGGAGGCCGAGGCAGGCGGATCATGAGGTCAGGAGATGGAGACCATCCTGGCTAACACACTGAAACCTCGTCTCTACTAAAAAAAAATACAAAAAATTAGCCGAGCGTGGTGGCAGGCAGCTGTAGTCCCAGCTACTTGGGAGGCTGAGGCAGGAGAATGGTGTGAACCTGGGAGGCGGAGCTTGCAGTGAGCTGAAATCGTGCCACTGTACTCCAGCCTGGGCGACAGAGAGAGAGACTGTCTCAAAAAAAAAAAAAAAAAAAAAAAATGGGCCTTTCCTGATACTGGGTTAGTCTGATAAAATTCCAACATACGTTGTTCATGTATGCAGGTATTTGAACGGGTACTGATGTAGAGGTATTTTTTGTTTTGTGTTTTTCTGTGAAGTTGAATTTACCTGATTAACTCACAATACGAACTGCTCTGCACGTAGAGAAAACAGCAAATGAGGCCCAGCTGCTTGTAGGTGCTGTGCTGGTCTTTATAGGGGATACAGTGAGGAGGATTTTGTTGTCTCTGTCTTCAGCGAGCTCATAATGAATTGGACACAGCATATAATGTGCAACCAACAAAAGACTTAATGGTTGCAGATTCTGAACTAAGTGCTTTCTATACATTTTTCAAGTCATCCTAATATATGATATGGCTCCTTTTTTTATCTTCATTTCGTGGGTAAGGAAACCGGGGCATAGGATGGCTAGGAAACACACCTATAATCACACAGCTGTGAAGTCATGAGCTCTGCTTTGAACGCAACTGACCTGTGTACCCACCACTCCAATCTGCAATGAAAACAGTATCAGAAGGCAATATGTATAAATTATTATATGAATTCTGTGGATGGCTTTTGTATTGGTTTAGAAGAAGGAAAGATACTTTTCCACCTTAACTCTTTAAGAATTTATGATGTTTCTGGGGCTTTAGCTGGTCCTCAAAGGAGAGAAGGTTCTAACCATTTCGAGAAGAATTTTGCACAGAGGTGGGAAAGCCTGATGGGTTTGGGGCAATGAATCCTTTTGGCTGCATTGGGGGTTTGGAGAACGAGGCTCTATAACAGTTTAGAAAGACAGGGCAAGTTTTTTGTGAATGTGATTAAGAACTGATGCTGTCATTGATACAAGTTTCCCTCTGCGTAGCACATTTAGTTCATAGAGATGCTTATGTTTCTCATTTCTTGTCTTCAGTTGATTCGGGAGGAGCATACTTACCTCGACAAGCAGATGTGTTTCCAGATCGAGACCACTTTGGCCGTACATTCTATAATCAGGCAATTATGTCTTCTAAAAATATTGCACAGGTAATTTTTCATGAATAAAGTGTACAGTGGTGCTTTTTACTCTTAAGTATCTTTACGAATTAGGTACTCTGGGATGGCTTGAAAGTAAAACAGAATTTAACACAAAATCTAATCTTTTTTTTTTTTTTATACTTTAGGTTTTAGGGTACATGTGCACATTGTGCAGGTTAGTTACATACGTACACATGTGCCATGCTGGTGCGCTGCACCCACTAAATCGTCATCTAGCATTAGGTATATCTCCCAATGCTATCCCTCCCCGCTCCCCCCACCCCACCACAGTCCCCAGAGTGTGATATTCCCCTTCCTGTGTCCATGTGATCTCATTGTTCAATTCCCACCTATGAGTGAGAATATGCGGTGTTTGGTTTTTTGTTCTTGCGATAGTTTACTGAGAATGATGATTTCCAATTTCATCCATGTCCCTACAAAGGACATGAACTCATCATTTTTTATGGCTGCATAGTATTCCATGGTGTATATGTGCCACATTTTCTTAATCCAGTCTATCATTTTTGGACATTTGGGTTGGTTCCAAGTCTTTGCTATTGTGAATAATGCCGCAATAAACATACGTGTGCATGTGTCTTTATAGCAGCATGATTTATAGTCCTTTGGGTATATACCCAGTAATGGGATGGCTAGGTCAAATGGTATTTCTAGTTCTAGATCCCTGAGGAATCGCCACACTGACTTCGACAATGGTTGAACTAGTTTACAGTCCCACCAACAGTGTAAAAGTGTTCCTATTTCTCCATATCCTCTCCAGCCCCTGTTGTTTCCTGACTTTTTAATGATTGCCATTCTAACTGGTGTGAGATGGTATCTCATTGTGGTTTTGATTTGCATTTCTCTGATGGCCAGTGATGACGAGCATTTTTTCATGTGTTTTTTGGCTGCATAAATGTCTTCTTCTGAGAAGTGTCTGTTCATGTCCTTCACCCACTTTTTGATGGGGTTGTTTGTTTTTTTCTTGTAAATTTGAGTTCATTGTAGATTCTGGATATTAGCCCTTTGTCAGATGAGTAGGTTGTGAAAATTTTCTCCCATTTTGTAGGTTGCCTGTTCACTCTGATGGTAGTTTCTTTTGCTGTGCAGAAGCTCTTTAGTTTAATTAGATCCCATTTGTCAATTTTGGCTTTTGTTGCCATTGCTTTTGGTGTTTCGGACATGAAGTCCTTGCCCATGCCTATGTCCTGAATGGTAATGCCTAGGTTTTCTTCTAGGGTTTTTATGGTTTTTGGTCTAATGTTTAAGTCTTTAATCCATCTTGAATTGATTTTTGTATAAGGTGTAAGGAAGGGATCCAGTTTCAGCTTTCTACATATGGCTAGCCAGTTTTCCCAACACCATTTATTAAATAGGGAATCCTTTCCCCATTGCTTGTTTTTCTCAGGTTTGTCAAAGATAAGATGTAGGTATGCGGCGTTATTTCTGAGGGCTCTGTTCTGTTCCATTGATCTATATCTCTGTTTTGGTACCAATACCATGCTGTTTTGGTTACTGTAGCCTTGTAGTACAGTTTGAAGTCAGGTAGTGTGATGCCTCCAGCTTTGTTCTTTTGGCTTAGGATTGCCTTGGCGATGTGGGCTCTTTTTTGGTTCCATGTGAACTTTAAAGTAGTTTTTTCCAATTCTGTGAAGAAAGTCTTTGGTAGCTTGATGGGGATGGCATTGAATCTGTAAATTACCTTGGGCAGTATGGCCATTTTCACGATATTGATTCTTCCTACCCATGAGCATGGAATGTTCTTCCATTTGTTTGTATCCTCTTTTATTTCCTTGAGCAGTGGTTTGTAGTTCTCCTTGAAGAGGTCCTTCACATCCCTTGTAAGTTGGATTCCTAGGTATTTTATTCTCTTTGAAGCAATTGTGAATGAGAGTTCACTCATGATTTGGCTCTCTGTTTGTCTGTTGTTGGTATTTAAGAATGCTTGTGATTTTTGTACATTGATTTTGTATCCTGAGACTTTGCTGAAGTTGCTTATCAGCTTGAGGAGATTTTGGGCTGAGACAATGGGGTTTTCTAGATATACAATCATGTCGTCTGCAAACAGGGACAATTTGACTTCCTCTTTTCCTAATTGAATACCCTTTATTTCCTTCTCCTGCCTAATTGCCCTGGCCAGAACTTCCAACACTATGTTGAATAGGAGTGGTGAGAGAGGGCATCCCTGTCTTGTGCCAGTTTTCAAAGGGAATGCTTCCAGTTTTTGCCCATTCAGTATGATATTGGCTGTGGGTTTGTCATAGATAGCTCTTATTATTTTGAAATACGTCCCATCAATACCTAATTTATTGAGAGTTTTTAGCATGAAGGGTTGTTGAATTTTGTCAAAGGCTTTTTCTGCATCTATTGAGATAATCATGTGGTTTTTGTCTTTGGCTCTGTTTATATGCTGGATTACATTTACTGATTTGCATATATTGAACCAGCCTTGCATCCCAGGGATGAAGCCCACTTGATCATGGTGGATAAGCTTTTTGATGTGCTGCTGGATGCGTTTTGCCAGTATTTTATTGAGGATTTTTGCATCAATGTTCATCAAGGATATTGGTCTAAAATTCTCTTTTTTGGTTGTGTCTCTGCCCGGCTTTGGTATCAGAATGATGCTGGCCTCATAAAATGAGTTAGGGAGGATTCCCTCTTTTTCTACTGATTGGAATAGTTTCAGAAGGAATGGTACCAGTTCCTTCTTGTACCTCTGGTAGAATTCGGCTGTGAATCCATCTGGTCCTGGACTCTTTTTGGTTGGTAAACTATTGATTATTGCCACAATTTCAGCTCCTGTTATTGGTCTATTCAGAGATTCAACTTCTTCCTGGTTTAGTCTTGGGAGAGTTTGTGTGTCGAGGAATTTATCCATTTCTTCTAGATTTTCTAGTTTATTTGCGTAGAGGTGTTTGTAGTATTCTCTGATGGTAGTTTGTATTTCTGTGGGATCGGTGGTGATATCCCCTTTATCATTTTTTATTGCGTCTATTTGATTCTTCTCTCTTTTTTTCTTTATTAGTCTTGCTAGCGGTCTATCAATTTTGTTGATCCTTTCAAAAAACCAGCTCCTGGATTCATTAATTTTTTGAAGGGTTTTTTGTGTCTCTATTTCCTTCAGTTCTGCTCTGATTTTAGTTATTTCTTGCCTTCTGCTAGCTTTTGAACGTGTTTGCTCTTGCTTTTCTAGTTCTTTTAATTGTGATGTTAGGGTGTCAATTTTGGATCTTTCCTGCTTTCTCTTGTGGGCATTTAGTGCTATAAATTTCCCTCTACACACTGTTTGAATGCGTCCCAGAGATTCTGGTATGTTGTGTCTTTGTTCTTGTTGGTTTCAAAGAACATCTTTATTTCTGCCTTCATTTCGTTATGTACCCAGTGGTCATTCAGGAGCAGGTTGTTCAGTTTCCATGTAGTTGAGCAGTTTTGAGTGAGATTCTTAATCCTGAGTTCTAGTTTGATTGCACTGTGGTCTGAGAGATAGTTTATTATAATCTCTGTTCTTTTACATTTGCTGAGGAGAGCTTTACTTCCAAGTATGTGGTCAATTTTGGAATAGGTGTGGTGTGGTGCTGAAAAAAATGTATATTCTGTTGATTTGGGGTGGAGAGTTCTGTAGATGTCTATTAGGTCCGCTTGGTGCAGAGCTGAGTTCAATTCCTGGGTATCCTTGTTGACTTTCTGTCTCGTTGATCTGTCTAATGTTGACAGTGGGGTGTTAAAGTCTCCCATTATTAATGTGTGGGAGTCTAAGTCTCTTTGTAGGTCACTCAGGACTTGCTTTATGACTCTGGGTGCTCCTGTATTGGGTGCATATATATTTAGGATAGTTAGCTCTTCTTGTTGAATTGATCCCTTTACCATTATGTAATGGCCTTCTTTGTCTCTTTTGATCTTTGTTGGTTTAAAGTCTGTTTTATCAGAGACTAGGATTGCAACCCCTGCCTTTTTTTGTTTTCCATTTGCTTGGTAGATCTTCCTCCATCCTTTTATTTTGAGCCTATGTGTGTCTCTGCACGTGAGATGGGTTTCCTGAATACAGCACACTGATGGGTCTTGACTCTTTATCCAGTTTGCCAGTCTGTGTCTTTTAATTGGAGCATTTAGTCCATTTACATTTAAAGTTAATATTGTTATGTGTGAATTTGATCCTGTCATTATGATGTTAGCTGGTGATTTTGCTTGCTAGTTGATGCAGTTTCTTCCTAGTCTTGAAGGTCTTTACATTTTGGCTTGATTTTTGCAGTGGCTGGTACCGGTTGTTCCTTTCCATGTTTAGCGCTTCCTTTTTTAGGGCAGGCCTGGTGGTGACAGAATCTCTCAGCATTTGCTTGTCTGTAAAGGATTTTATTTCTCCTTCACTTATGAAGCTTAGTTTGGCTGGATATGAAATTCTGGGTTGCAAATTCTTTTCTTTAAGAATGTTGAATATTGGCCCCTAGTCTCTTCTGGCTTGTAGGTTTCTGCCGAGAGATCCGCTGTTAGTCTGATGGGCTTCCCTTTGAGGGTAACCCGACCTTTCTCTCTGGCTGCCCTTAACATTTTTTCCTTCATTTCAACTTTGGTGAATCTGACAATTATGTGTCTTGGAGTTGCTCTTCTCGAGGAGTATCTTTGTGGTGTTCTGTGTATTTCCTGAATCTGAACGTTGGCCTGCCTTGCTAGATTGTGGAAGTTCTCCTGGATAATATCCTGCAGAGTGTTTTCCAACTTGGTTCCATTCTCCCCATCACTTTCAGGTACACCAATCAGACGTAGATTTGGTCTTTTCACATAGTCCCATATTTCTTGGAGGCTTTGCTCATTTCTTTTTATTCTTTTTTCTCTAAACTTCCCTTCTCGCTTCATTTCATTCATTTCATCTTCCATTGCTGATACCCTTTCTTACAGTTGATCGCTTCAGCTCCTGAGGCTTCTGCATTCTTCACGTAGTTCTCGAGCCTTGGTTTTCAGCTCCATCAGCTCCTTTAAGCACTTCTCTGTATTGGTTATTCTAGTTATACATTCTTCTAAATTTTTTTCAAAGTTTTCAACTTCTTTGCCTTTAGTTTGAATGTCCTCCCGTAGCTCAGAGTAATTTGATCGTCTGAAGCCTTCTTCTCTCAGCTCATCAAAGTCATTCCCCATCCAGCTTTGTTCCGTTGCTGGTGAGGAACTGCGTTCCTTTGGAGGAGGAGAGGTGCTCTGCGTTTTAGAGTTTCCAGTTTTTCTGTTCTGTTTTTTCCCCATCTTTGTGGTTTTATCTACTTTTGGTCTTTGATGATAGTGATGTACAGATGGGTTTTTGGTGTGGATGTCCTTTCTGTTTGTTAGTTTTCCTTCTAACAGACAGGACCCTCAGCTGCAGGTCTGTTGGAATACCCTGCCGTGTGAGATGTCAGTGTGCCCCTGCTGGGGGGTGCCTCCCAGTTAGGCTGCTCGGGGGTCAGGGGTCAGGGACCCACTTGAGGAGGCAGTCTGCCCGTTCTCAGATCTCCAGCTGTGTGCTGGGAGAACCACTGCTCTCTTCAAAGCTGTCAGACAGGGACATTTAAGTCTGCAGAGGTTACTGCTGTCTTTTTGTTTGTCTGTGCCCTGCCCCCAGAGGGGAGCCTACAGAGGCAGGCAGGCCTCCTTGAGCTGTGGTGGGCTCCACCCAGTTCGAGCTTCCTGGCTGCTTTGTTTACCTTAAGCAAGCCTGGGCAATGGCGAGCGCCCCTCCCCCAGCCTCGCTGCCGCCTTGCAGTTTGATCTCAGACTGCTGTGCTAGCAATCAGCGAGACTCCGTGGGCGTAGGACCCTCCGAGCCAGGTGCGGGATATAATCTCCTGGTGCGCCGTTTTTTAAGCTGGTCCGAAAAGCGCAATATTCGGGTGGGAGTGACCCGATTTTCCAGGTGCGTCCGTCACCCCTTTCTTTGACTCGGAAAGGGAACTCCCTGACCCCTTGCGCTTCCCAAGTGAGGCAATGCCTCGCCCTGCTTCGGCTCGCACACGGTGCGCGCACCCACTGACCTGCGCCCACTGTCTGGCACTCCTTAGTGAGATGAACCCAGTACCTCAGATGGAAATGCAGAAATCACCCGTCTTCTGCGTCGCTCACGCTGAGAGCTGTAGACCGGAGCTGTTCCTATTCGGCCATCTTGGCTCCTCCCCAAAATCTAATCTTTTTCCACAGAGAGTATCTAAAGGTTGTCTCCAATTAGAGCTTTTTATTAACTATAGGAATACTCCTATACTGTAATAAGATTATTAAAACAGGTTTTAGGCCAGGCGCGGTGGCTCACGCCTGGAATCCCAGCACTTTGGGAGGCCGAGGTGGGGGGATCACGAGGTCAGGAGATCGAGACTATCCTGGCTAACGCGGTGAAACCCCGTCTCTATTAAAAATACAAAAAATTAGCTGGGCGTGGTGGCACATGCCTGTAGTCCCAGCAACTTGGGAGACTGAGGCAGGAGAAATGCTTGAACCTGGGAGGCAGAGGTTGCAGTGAGCTGAGATCATGCCACTGCACTCCAGCCTGGCGACGAAGTGAGACTCCGTCTCAAACAAACAAAGAACAGGTTTTTAAAAGGAAAACAGGGTTTAAAAAGAAAGGGCTCCAGTAATTCCTTTTTTAGGGCTATACCCTAGGGAAACTCTGATATATGTATGAAGAGATACTTAGAAGAATAATTCATGGCCAGGCACTGTGACTTGTGCCTGAAATCCCAGCACTTTGGGAGGCTGAAGTGAGAGGATCACTTGAGTCCAGGAGTGAGAGACCAGCCTGGGCAACATAGGGAGACCCTGTCTCTACAAAAAAATAAAAAATTAGCCGAGTGTGGTGTGGCACATGCCTATGGTTCCAGCTTTCAGGAGGCTGAGGTAGGAGGATCACTTGAGCCTTGGAGTTTGAGGCTACAGCGAGCTGTGGTTGCACCACTGCACTCCAGCCTGAGAAACAGAATGAGACCCTGTCTCACAAAAGAAAAAGAAAAGAAAAGTTCATTATAGCATTGTTTGTTAGAGCAAAAGTTAGAGAATAACCTAACTGTTCATTCATGGGAGATTAATAATACAGTTTTTGTCTGTTAAAAGGAATGAACTAAAATTGCATCTGTCAATATAAGTCTCAAAAAGTAGATTGAGTAAAAAACATAGTAGAATCAATATATGGCTATTTACTATGTATGTAAAGGTTAAATACATCGAATCCTACTGTATATTATTTGTGTATAAACATGCACGTGGGAGCGATACACTCAGCTTTAGAACAGTGGTTGCCTCTGAGGTGGGAAGGAAGAGACAGGGATGAGGTAGGAGGTAGATAGGCGCTTCAACTATATCTCAAATACTTTATTCCTTTTTTTTTCTTTTTTTTTTTTTGAGATGGAGTCTTGCTCTGTTGCCCAGGCTGGAGTGCAGTGGTGCTACCTCGGCTCACTGCAAACTTTGCCTCCCGGGTTCACGCTATTCTCCTGCCTCAGCCTCCTGAGTAGCTGGGACTACAGGCGCCCACCACCATGCCCGGCTAATTTTTTGTATTTTTAGTAGAGACAGGGTTTCACCACATTAGCCAGGATGGTCTCGATCTCCTGACCTCGTGATCTGCCGACCTCGTGATCCGCCCGCCTCGGCCTCCCAAAGTGCTGGGATAACAGGCATGAGCCACCGCGCCTGGTCAAATACTTTATTCCTTAAAAAAATGATCTGAAGTAAATTTTGCTTAATGTCAAGGTTTATTAAGATTAGGTATTAGGCTAATGGATGTTTGTTATTCTGTAATTTTTTTTGCATGGTTGGAATATTTATAATACAGATGCTGCTATTGTGTTTTCATTTCTTTATTGGATTTAAGTTTGTCATATTTTTATTAATATTCTGATTAATCTATACTTGCAATTATTATATATCTTTTTGATTTTTCTATCAACATAGTTGGTTGTAATTGTTTATGGTATATTTTACTGTTACACAGTGACCATGCCTACCTATATGCTTTATTTATCTAAATAGAAACTTCGGCTTTGCTTACTTTTGCACAGATGGCCGTTGCATTATCTATATGAAATTCGTATTGTGGTCTCCATTTAATCTGGTATTATATTTTTTTCTTTTAGAGAAACAGGATCTTGCTATGTTGGCCAGGCTGGTCTCAAATTCTTGGCCTCAAGGATCCTTCTGCCTTAGCCTCCCAATGTGCTGGGATTACAGGCCTGAGCCAACATGCTGGGCCTGGTGTTACAATTTTTATAGCTTACCTTTTATTAGTTTCCTAGGGCTGTTGTAACAAATTATCACAAATTGAGTGGCTTAAAGCAACAGCAATTTATGTATTTATTTAGAGATGAATGTCTTGGTATGTTGCTCCAGCTGGTCTTGAACTCCTGGCCTCAGATCATCCTCCTACCTTTGCCTTGTGGGTAGCTGGGATTATAGGTGTGAGCCACAATGCTTGGCTAACAGAAATTTATTCTGTGAAGTTCTGGAAGCCATAACTCTGCAGTCAAGGCAGCAGCGGGGCTGTGCTTCCAGGGGACATTCTGTTCCTTTCCTAGCCTCTTCCAGCTCCTGGTGGCTCCAGGTATTCCCCTGGCTTATGGCTACCTCCCTCCCATGTCTGCCTCCATCTTCACGTGACCTTCTCTGGGTATCTGGGTCTTCTCCTTCTCTATCTTATAAGAACACTTGTCACTGGATTTAGGGACCACCCAGGTAATCCACAAGATTCTTAATTATATCTGCAAAGATTCCTTTTTCAAATGAGACCATCTTTACAGATTCTGGTGATTAGGATATGGCTATATCTTTTTATCTTTTGTTGGGGGAGGCTACTATTTAAGCACTATAGCCCTCTATCATCTAACATGTTCTTTGCTGTGTCTTTCTGCTGCCAGGTGGAGTCTCTATTCCTGTGGAACTTTGAAGTTTAAAGTGCTTTAAAATCAGATCTTTTAAAAATCAAAAGTGTACTTACTTCTTGGAATAAGCAATACCTGCTTATGATAAAAAACTCAAAATGTCTGAAGGGCATTTGACTGAATGACTGTCTTCCTTTTACTTATTTTATTTTTGTTTTTTAAAAAATATTAGGGCTGGGCGTGGTGGCTCATGCCTGTAATCCCAGTACTTTGAGAGGCCAAGGCAGGAGGATTGCCTGAGCCCAGGTGAGACCAGCCTGGGCACACACCTGTGGTCCTAGCTGTTTGGGAGGCTGAAGCAGAAGGATTACTTGAGCCCAGGAGGTTGAAGCTTCAGTGAGCCATGATTGTACCACTGCACTTCAGCCTGAGTGACAGAATGAGACACTGTCTCAAGAAAATATACATATATTTATAATATATAATATATCAGAGAAGGAAGGTGGAGTAAGTACTAGTGTTTTCAGTATGAAGAAAAGTGCTCACACATAGCCGGACATCTTCAGTGCAGATTTCAGGTTTAGGGCTCATATATTCAGGAAGGGGTCAGAAAAGATACTATGGAGACTCAATATATGATAACAGAAATTTCTTTTTAAATTCCAAGAGGTTCATATTATATATCTAATTCATATTATATAGTTCATATTATATATATATGGTTCATATTATGTATAACGTATATAATACACACACACACACACACACATATATCAGTATTTCTTTGAGCTACTTCTCTTAGCCTTTATTTTTTTCTATTTCCCTTAAATAGGAAAGGAGGTTTAGGGTTAAGGTTTGCCTTCTCATATTTTAATGAACCGTATTTTTAAGTTTCCATAGTATCTGTTCTGAGCCTTTCCTGAATATATGAGCCTAAACCTGATATCTGCACTGAAGATGTCAGGCTATGTTTCTCCTCTTCTCAAAACCTAAACCCGTCATTTATGATTTTAATACTAACCTCTCCTTTTTGCTTCATCATTTATTCCCTTTCTCTTACTCTAATTAATTTTCTTGGGCAAGGCACGGTGGTCCACACCTCTAATCCTAGCACTTTGGGAGGCTAAGGTGGGAGATTGCTTGAGGCCAGGAGTTTAAGATC